>NC_000004.12:82709259-82860774 GCF_000001405.40 Homo sapiens
ACACCATCATTCTGCATCCCATTCAGCCTCGGCTTGTCATAAACATGAGTGCCAGTTTATGAGACTTTATGAGACAGTTTCATTGAGCTGCTATTATGTACCAGCCACTGAGCTCAGAACTGGGAGTTTAACAGGAGTTTGAAAAGTAAGTTACTTGCTATATAATGACAAAGTATGGAAAGTGCTACAGAGCAAATGAACAGAATAATATAAGAGAGATCAAAAAGTGGATAATTTAGTTTGGGGGGCCAAAGAAGGCTTTGCAGAAGAAACAAGAATTTAGGCTAACACTTAAAAGATAAGAAGTCAACTGAGCAAGGTCCAGAGGAGGCAAGATCAGGCAGAGGGACTCACAGATGCAAAGCCCTCAGGTTGGAAAAGAGGATCCATGGATGGAAGGAAACATCAAACATAAACTTATCATTTGTTCCAGCAATTCCACTTCTAGATGTTTACCCAAAAGAATTGAGAGCAGTGATAGGACTCAAACAGATACTTATATATCCATGTTCATAGCAGTATTATTCACAATAGCCAGAAGGCAGAAATAATCCAAGTGTCCATCAACAGGTGAGGAACATCCCTGCCTAACAGAAAGCGAGAAGGGAGTGAAGACTCACTGACGGCCTGCCCTGGGCTGTCACTTTACCAATGTACCTAATTTTCCTGTTTTACTCCTATGAGGTAGATATCATCATTTCCATTTTACAGATTTGCAAAACTGAGACCCAGAGACATTAAATAAATGCCTTGGGACCTCTAAGTGATAAAGCCAGAATTCCAACACCAGATCAGTCCAACCTCAAGCTCTTTCAGGCAAGTGCAGTGGTTCTCCACCCTGGCTGTGCATTACAGTCACCTGAGATCTTAAACATCTGACTGCATCAGAAATGGGGGCCAGACAGCAGGCATCTCTCTCTCGGCAGATGATTCTGATGCAAAACCAGGGCTGAGAAACTCCTGCCTCATAAGGTACACCCTCTCTTAGACACCATGTGGCCCCACCTTCTCGATTTACAAACAGAGAGATAAGATCCAGAGAGCAGTGCTCTCTGCAACCCACCACCAGATGCTGACTCTCCATGGGGCCTCAGTAAATGCAAAGTGACCCTCGGATCAGGAGACAATGTCATCCTTTCATGTGAACTCAGAGTCCTGTTCACACTCCACCCGCCCCACCTCCCCACCAGCTCCCTTTGATGGTGAGAGCTGCCCCCTAGGCTCTCAGCTGCAGAGTCTTTGATATCTGGGTGCTGGGCTGTGGCTCAGGGTGTGCAGTGGGGAGCTGTTTTTCCCCAGAGAACTGAGGAGAGGAGGGGGAAGCCAACAGAGGGTGAAGGCTTCTTGGGAGAGGGTGACCCCTGGGTTGAGGAGGGGGAACATGGAAGAAGGCACTGTACTTTGATGTCTGCTTTTCCAGTCAGTTCAAGTGTTTTGAAAGTCAGTTCTGGGCTCTGGCCAATTAGTGACTGTTTCTCCTCTCTAGACCTTCCCAGGTTCTGAAGATAGATAGGCAAAGGCCTATAGCCCCATTGTTGGAGAGGGAGAGAGGGAGGGAGGGAGGGAGAGAGAGAGAAGGAGAGAGGGAGAGAGAAAATGAGAGAGAGAGAAAACAAGACAAAGAGAAAACGAGACAGAGAGAGAGAGAGAGAGAAGTGCATATATGTAGTGCTCAGCAATACAGCATCATGGCTAAAATGGCCCTGGGATTGAATCCCTGATAAATCACTTATCACTGTGACAATTTCTCTAAAGCTTGGTTTCTTCATGTGTAAAGTAGGGAAAATAGTACCTGCCTCCTGGGTTTGTTGTAAAGATTAAAAGGGGTACTGCATGCAAAATTGGAACCGTGCCTGGCAAGCAGTAAGCACCGGCACATATTATTGCCCCATGCATGAATGCCATGCTCTGTTTCTGAAAAGATCCCCCCCCCGATAACCCACTCTGAAGACACCCACACTTTTCATCACTATAAACTTGTGGTTCTGATGAGGAGGCAGAGATTTTGCCTCCCCTCCCCACTGTGACCCCCTACATTTGGCAATGTTTTGAGACATTATTGGGTGTTGCAACCCAAAACTTGAAGGGTGTTACTGGCATCTAGTGGGTGGAAGCCAGGTATGCTGCTCAGCATCCCACAATGCACGGAAGCTGCCTATGTACAGAATATCCAGGATGGCGCGGTGGCTCATGCCTATAATCCCAGCACTTTGGAAGGCCAAGGCAGGTGGATTACCTGAGCTCAGGAATTTGAGACCAGCCTGGATGACAAGGCAAAACACTGTATCTACAAAAAGTTAGCCAAGCGTGGTAGCACGTGCCTGTAGTTCCAGCTACTTGTGGGGCTTAGGTAGGAAGATCACTTAAGCCCAGGAGGTGGAGGCTGCAGTGAGCCAGGATCTCACCACTGTTCTCCAGCCTGGGTGATAAAGTAAGACCTTGTCTTAAAAAAAAAAAAAAATCCAGCCCTAAATGTCAAACATGTCAATAGTGACAAGGTAGAGAATCGCTAAATTCTTAGGAAAGCTCTTCTTGAAACCAAGCCTTGTTCATTCTCTGGATTTGACTGCACCTGTCCTTGATTCTTCGCACCTCTCTAGTTTCATGGGGAGCTCTAGGAGCAGGAGTAATTTATTTCTGATATTATTTCATAAATAAGCTGGAAACAAAGGACTATGGTGTGAGATCAATAGTATCACTGATTCTCACATTTTCATGTGCCCTATAATAATAAGAGCTACCATTGACTGAGAGCTTTCTATGTGCCAGGCCCTCTTTAAGCACTTTATACACAGTAACTCATTTAATACTCACCACAAGTGTAGGGGGTAGGTGCCATTATGATCTCCATCTTATAGATGAAGAAAACTTGACAGTGATAGAGCCAGGATACAATCTAAGGCAGGGGATCTTAGTAAAGTGCAGTTGCAGGACCCCAGCCCAAGAGATTCTGACTCAATAGGTCTGGGGAGGGACCAACTAACATATATATATATATATATATATATATATATATATATATATATATATATATATATTTTATTTTTATTTTATTTTTTTTTTTTGAGATGAAGTCTCGCTCTGTCGCCCAGGCTCCGCCCAGGCTGGAGTGCAATGGCGTGATCTCGGCTTATTGCAACCTCTGCCTCCCGGGTTCAAGCCATTCTCTTGCCCCAGCCTCCTGAGTAGCTGGGATTACAGGCGTGTGCCATCACGCCTGGCTAATTTTTGTATTTTTAGTAGAGACTGGGTTTCACCATGTTGGCCAGGCTAGTCTCGAACTTCTGACCTTGTGAGCTGCCCGCCTTGGCCTCCAAAAGTGCTGGGATTACAGGCGTGAGCCACCACACCTGGCCTCAACTTGTATTTCTAAAGAGCTTGTGGCAGGTGCTGATGCTGCTGGCCCAGAGTCCCTGAGTGTTTCTCTGACCAGCCAGATCAGAGAGACAGAGAGAATGAATGTGTGTGTATGTGTGTGCATGCGCACATGTGTGTGTGTCTGATAAAGGGCTGCCAGTGACAGGGCAAGGACCTCTACGGCTACTTATCTCATGGAATAGCACCACAAAGAACCTCAGTTAAATCTTACATCTTCCCTTGAAAAGTCTGGGTATACAAGGTTCAAGATTCAGAGGTGATTTCCACGTAGGTACTATTTCAACAATTCTTTCAAAATCAGAACATTTTCAAGGGTGTTGGAGACTGCAAGCTGAGAAGCAAAGGGTTTCTTCTTACTATTAAAACCTTCTAAATTCTATTATACTTACAATAACCGGCAGCTCCTCTCTGCCATCTACCTCCCTCCACTAAGCCATCGTCTACTGTGCCGCATATGAGCTGCAGAAAGATATGTTCTCTCATCCCACAGCATGAATCTTTAAGCAACTGCCCACATCTAGGAAGATTAAATGACAAGGGGATAGAACAGGAGAGAGAGAGGATACATTTCATGCCTTTTATACATATTGCTTATTTTCCTCAAGTGTCCTTCCTGCCTTGGGTTAGGTCCATTTACACGGTTGTAACATACTGGGCAACTGCTACTTTTCCTGGTTGATTTACAGCTTATATAGCAATAAGCATGAAAGTCATAGCAGATCACTAAGAAACACAAAATTATAGCATACGTTGTTACTACTCTGCTACTGCACCACACAGTTTGTAATTCAAACAAAAAAGAAGGCAAGATTTTGGATCGTTCCAGGACTTCATTCAGTATATACATGGCTCACTTCAGACAGGCACTCCTGTTAGATACTCTGTTGCCCTCTGTGTTAACCAATACAGCAATTGTCACGTTGTTATTAAATAAGGAATTACTGGTCCAGTGCTATCTGCCCTTACTGAAACATCATCTCCAGGAGGGCAGGGATTGTGTCTGTCTGTCTTTCCATGTATTCTCAGCTGGCATCTGTGCAACTAACTCAACCAGAGAAAAATACTCAACCATGTTGATTGGTCTCACTTTAAAATCATGACCACTAACCTCAATTGGGCTTTACTATTACCCAGCAACCATATTATATTTCCCCGATCCATATGCGGTCCCTCTCTCCTAGACATTGACCTCATACCTGCTCCGATCACCTCACCCCTGACACCTCCCTGCCCTACTCACCTGATAACTTTGCTTCTGATTTCAGTAAGAATATCAGAACTTCCCCAGGCTCCGCCACCTCTACCTACCATCCAGCATCTGAGCCTGGGTACTCTATGATCGCTACATGACTGCACATGGCCAAGCCACTCTCTCTTTAAGTCTGGCCCTTCCCTTGTGCATCATATCCACTCATCCTACCCATACATTACTCAGAAATTCCTGTCTGCCTGTCTGTATCATCAACACCGCCCCACATACTTACATTATTCCCACAGCCTACAGCCATGCTGTTACTTCTCTTATGTTAAAAAGCAAAATTTAAAAACCTCTCTTGACCCCACTTCCCCACCTGGATCCTATTCCATTTCCCTATTCCCCTTTACAGTGAAACTTACTGAATATTGCCTCTAATCACTGGTTGCAGTTCTCTTTCCATTCTCTCTTAAACCCACTCAATCAGGTTTTGGTCTTTCTCCCCTCATAGCTGCCCCCAATCAAAACTGCTCTTATCCAGGTCCAGACAAGATAGGTGTAGTCCCTTTACTCATGGGCAGTCTCTAGGTAAACATTGAACAAATCATTACTGGGTGACAGGGACTCTGAAGGAGAGACCCAGGTATACAGGAGCACCTGAAGCATGAGCTCATGAAGGAGGGACTGCTGCTAGCAAGGCATGGAGGTGTGAAGGCTGTGTGTGTTCAAGCAGGAGCAAGTGGTTTGGTTTGGCTCCAGGGCAGGGGGCTGTGGGGGTAAAATGAAGGGAGTAAAACAGGCAAGGAGCCAGGTCTGGAAGGGACTCATATAGGTTGAGCATCCCTAATCTGAAAATCTGAAATGTTCTAAAATTTGAGATTTTCTGAGCACCCACATGATGCTCAAAGGAAATGCTCATTGGAGCATTTTGGATTTCAGATTTTTGAAGCAGGGATGTTCAACCAGTAAGTATATGGCAAATATTCCAAAATCTGAAAAAATATAAAATCTAAAACACTTCTGAACCCAAGCAGTTTGGATAAGGGATACTCAACCTGTATGTAGCTAGAGAGATAGAACTGATCTTGAGAACAACAGGATACCATAAAGAATTTCATGTGAGGCTAGGCGCAGTGGCTCACACCTGTTATCCCAGCACTTTGGGAGGCTGAGGCAGGCAGATCTCTTGAGGTCAGGAGTTCGAGACCAGCCTGGCCAACATGATGAAACCCCGCCTCTACTAAAAATGCAAAAATTAGCCGGGTGTGGTGGCACACGCCTGTAATCCCAGCTACTTGGGAGGCTGAGGCACGAGAATTGCTTGAACCCAGGAGGCAGAGGTTGCAGTGCACTAAGATCATGCCACTGTACTGCAGCCTGGGTGACAGAGCAAGACTCCGTCTGAAAAAAAAAAAAAAATCATGTGATCAGATTTAGAACGATAGATCTGAAGGCTGTGGAAGATGAGTGATAATGAGCGGAAATGGAAGACGTTGGGCTGAGTATTCTCCATGCACCCCTGGCAGACACACACCCTCCCTTCTCATGCTGCTCTGTGCCCCAGGAGGCCGGCCTGTGCTGAACCGATGGGCTTCCTCTGGCTTCTATCTGGGTTATTTTCAGCATCCAGAGCCTAGATTAGGAACTGGAAGGCCCTTGACAAGTTACTCATCACTCTGGGCCTCAATTTCCTCATTAATAAAAAAAAAATAAGGGTGTCCCAAACACCATTCTGGCGCCAGGCTACCTGTATCATAATTTTCTGAGGAGCTTTAAAATACACACATATATTCTAGAACCTCATACTGACAAGACAGGGGTCATAACTCTGGCTTATACCTCATGCCTTGGTGTGGGAAATGAGGTCTCGTGAAGGAAAAGAGATGCATTGATAAGAGGAAAAACTTGATGACCAGAAAGTTAAGAACTCTTAGCTGTCATAGGATGATGCTGACAGCCTAGCTCTTGACCAACAGCATGTAAAACAAGATGACTAAACTGAATGGTTTGGGGAAGGGAGGAGAAAGAAAATGACAAAGACTAAGGCTGTTCTGCTTCCAGTCCACTTTTGAAAATGTTTGGCAACTGGTACTTGTGGCCACACTCAAGTATAAGGAGAGCTATATTTGGAGCTGTCAATTGTGTAATATTTTACCAAAAAAAGTCAATGTTATCATTTTTTTGATCTGCTAATATTTGTTCAGTACAATGATACCAAGGCAAGCCCTTGAGAAAAAACTATTCGATAGCATAAACTAGTTCAGCCTGAGAGCGTTCCATGATTTCCCCTGTGGCTTCTTCCTCTCTTCTTCGAAGCCTCTTCCTTTCCCTCAAATAACACAAAGCTTCTCTTCCGGGTGTCGGGGAGATCATTTACTAGGCATGGGAATCAAAGCTCCCTGGAAGAACTCACGGAGAATGTCAGCTCCTTCCACACAGAAGGGAGGGAGCTCACAGGGAATCTGGAACTGCCCCTCTGCCATTTCCTAGCTGGGGTGATACCGACTTACTGTCTCTTAGTCTCAGTTCTCTTATCTGTAAACAAACAAACAAACAAAAGACTACATCAAAGTGTTGTTGGGGGACTTAAGTGAAAATACATACAGTCAGCCCTCCTTATCCATGGGTGCCACATTTGTGGATTCAACTGTGGATTCACCTGTGGATTCAACTGTGGGCTGAAAATATTTGCGGAAGAAGCCTGGGCGTGGTGGCTCATGTCTGTAATTCCAGCACTTTGGGAGGCCGAGGTGGGCGGATCACTTGAGGTCAGGAGTTCGAGACCAGCCTGGCCAACATGGTGAAACCCTGTCTCTACTAAAATTATGAAAATTAGCCAGGCATGGTGGCGTACGCCTGTAATCCCAGCTACTCAGGAGGCTGAGGCAGGAGAATCACTTGTACCTGAGAGGCAGAGGGTGCAATGAGCCGAGATCGTACCACTGCACTCCAGCCTGGGCAACAGAGCTAGACTCAGTCTCAATAAACAAAAGAAAGAAAGAAAGAAAATACTTGAGGAAGCAAAATGGATGGTTATGTCTGCACTAAATATGTACAGGCCCTTTTTTCCTGTCATTATTCCCTAAACAATATACTGTAACAACTACTTACATAGCATTTACATTGTTTTGGGTATTATAAGTAATCTAGAGATGATTTAAAATATATGGGAGGATGTGCAAAGGTTATATGCAAATACTATGCCATTTCATATAAGGGACTCAAGCATCTGTGAATTTTAGTATCCATGGAGGGTTCCTGGAACCAACCCCCTATACATACTGAAGGATCACTGTATAGGGTATTTAGCATATAACAATATTTCAATAAATATTACTGCAAACACCATTATTTTTATTACTAGGCAGACATTGCAAGGTTGAGGCTGGGTGACCAGGAAGCAGAGGCTCTAGGGAAAAGATGACCCAGATCCCAACACAGACTTTTTTTTTGAACCGGGTCCTCAGACTGCTCAGGTTCTCTGAGGTGAAATGGGGAAGAGCAAACACATTCATTGCTTCTGATTCAGGATAACTCCCATCACAACCTCTCTCTCTCCATGTTATGCAACTATCGAAATCACCATTAGGGAAAATTGAGAACAAAGTGAGTAATTTACTGTGCTATGGACCCACTGAATTTCCTTTTCATTAATTATTCAGTTTTTATTTTATCTTGGGCAGTAAGTTTGTGTGTGTTAGAGGAAGATGTGCATACATTTTATATCACTATAGGTATATGCATGCTCATTAATATCTCTGCCTATAAATAGGAAACTAATATCAAAATCGTTGGTCCTTTGGCCTGGTGCAGTGGCTCACGCCTGTAATCCCAGCACTTTCGGAGGCCAAGGCAGGCAGATCACTTGAGGTCAGGAGTTCGAGACCAGCCTGGCAAACATGGTGAAACCCCATCTCTACTAAAAATACAAAAATTAGCCAGGTGTGATGGTACATGCCTGTAATCCCAGATACTTGGGAGGGTGAAGCACGAGAATTGCTTGAACCCAGGAGGCAGAGGTTGCAGTGAGCCGAGGTGGTACCACTGCACTCCAGCCTGGGCGACAGAGTGAGATTCCCTCTCAAAAATAAAATAAAATAAAATAAAAAGTTGGTCCCTCTGAAGGAAGATAAAAATTAAAAACAGTACCAAAAGTGGTCAATTTCAGGCAAGTGAAAAAAAAAAAAGAATAATTTCTGCTGTCATCATCTGAACTGAGTAGTTATGGGTCATTATCACCTTTTTTTTTTAAAAAAAAAAAAAGCAATCTCTCTAAGGGAATAAAGACAGTTGCTGGTTGAAGTCCAGGAATCCAAGGTTTCACAGAAGAGCTGGCAGGCACCTTTGCAGCAATGAAGCATAAAGACCACAATAACCAGACCCTCAGAGGGCTGAGTGCTGTGCTCTGGAGGGACATCTTTGGGAACATTCTATGGAGAGAGGCCCTAGGCATCACTGTTGCTTTTATTTCTGAGCCAAAAGAGCTGGAAATTAAAGTGAAAAGTCCAGGAAAGCCTCTTGGGAGGAGCTGTTTCTCTCCGTCCTCATCTCTCCGTCCTGATTTCTTCATCCTCCTCTCGTCCTTTTTTCTGACTCAGACCCTCCCTCACCATGGTGATCGGTGTGAACCCAGTGGATTCTGACCAAACGTTCCTCTATCTGGCAGCCACAGGCCAAGGACAAACATGAAGAATATTTGGCAGCGAGGTGTACTTGCTGCTCCCCCCACCAAAAAGTTACAAAACACATTTTTTTCAAGGTTGTTGTTATCACAATGTTTCTGGCTTAAATAGAAAAAAAAGATGAAATTTAATAATGCAATATTCTTTCAAGATACCATGAAACCCCCTTCAGTTCTCTAGTTAGGGACTGCATCATTAAGGCAGCCTGACCTAGTTCACAAACTCCAGTTTCAAGAGGTTTCTTCACACATTTTTATTCTTGCCAAATCGCTTTAAGTTGCTGTGAATAACCCCAAGACAGACTTTTTTTTTTCTTTGCAGCATATTACAAGGCTTGGTTTTCTGACCTTCACTTGGTTCTTATGCATAAATTCCAACCTAATTTTAATGAGTTGACTTATCAAAATACAATTATTCATTCATTCCTTCTCAAGCACGTACGAGCACCTTCCACATGCCCGTTTCCTCCAGGGTGCGGAGTATCAGAGTGGGCAGCCTCCATTTCAGGGGGCTCGCTGCTAGCCGAGTTCTCAAACTGGCAGCCCCCAGGCCACAACCAACCCACAGATTTTTTAAAAAACTGATCCAACAATTAAAAATAGGGAATTTCAAATTTTAAAATCTCTTTTTCTGGCTTCTCCTGAAACATGGAAAGATCTGGCAATGTCAGGCCACCTCTCTTTCTTGCATGGCAACTTTTTCCAGGAACTACATACCCCTTCCACTGAGACAGCTCCACATGACACCCCTGTTTACCCCATACAGTAGTACATGCACTCTGAATCAACCCTCTTCATTTATTACCTGCCTGGCCTCAATCTAGGACATTACCAGGGCTAACTTACCCACTAGACACAGTAGGCACAGTGCTCACAGCCCACAATATGTTTTCTTCAAAAAGATAAAAAGAGAATATAGTAATAAGTACATAATCATGAGTCTAGCCTCGATTATAGTTGTCTTTATACCAATACAGTTGTAAAATATGATTTTCTTTTTTTTTTTTTGAGACGGAGCGTCGCTCTGTCGCCCAGGCCGGAGTGCAGTGGCGCAATCTCGGCTCACTGCAAATTCCGCCTCCCAGGTTCACGCCATTCTCCTGCCTCAGCCTCCCGAGTAGCTGGGACTACAGGGGCCCGCTACCACGCCCAGCTAATTTTTTGTATATTTAGTAGAGACGGGGCTTCACCATGTTGGCCAGGATGGTCTTGATCTCTTGACCTTGTGATCCACCCGCCTCGGCCTCCCAAAGTGCTGGGATTACAGGCATGAGCCACCGCGCCCGGCCATGATTTTCTTCTTTTTGAGACAGGGTCTCGCTCTGTCACCCAGGCTGGAGTGCAGGGGTGCAATCTCAGTTCACTGCAACTTCAGCCTCCTGGGTTTAAGCGATTCTCATGCCTCAGCCTCCTGAGTAGCTAGGATTACAGGCGCACACCACCACGCCCAGCTAATTTTTGCATTTTTAGTAGAGATGGGGTTTCACCAGGTTGGCCAGGCTGGTAGTTGTAAAATGATTTTTAATATATTTTTATGGAGAAGGGGCCTACAAAGGCAAAAGTCATAATGCAACCCTGAGTATAAATGAATTACATCATTCATGACTTGGAAAATTGGTAATTAAAAGAGAAACGGCCAGGCACAGTGGCTCATGCCTGTAATCCTAGCACTTTGGGAGGCCTAGGAGGGAGGACTGTTTGTGCCCCGGTTCAAGACCAGCTTGGGCAACATAGTGAGACACCATCTCTACAGAAAAATTTTTTTAAAAATTAGTTGGGTGTGGTGATGTACGCCTGTAGTCCCAGCTACTCGGGAAGCTGAGGTGGAAGGATCACTTGAGCCCAGGAGGTCGAGGCTGCAGTGAGTTGTAATCATGAACTCCAGCCTGGGTGACAGAGAGAGATGCTGTCTCAAAAAAGGCAAAAATAAAAAAAAAAAAAAAAAAAAAAGACAAAAGAGAAAGCAGCATTTATCCTGTCTTTTTAGAACTATAATCCATTCCTAGTTGATGAAGGAAAGATCTTCTTTTCAGAAATTAATAATTTCAGAAATTATTAATAATAAATGCAGGTTAGAGGGGGAAATCACCCTTCTGCAATCCCCAATTGTGTCTGATGCTGTTGAGCACTGCCCCAACCCTCTGTAGGTCCAGGTACTCATTCCCCAACTACTGGGATTGTTGGTGCCTAACAGCTCACAACTGAGTCTTTCCTCAGGCATTGCCCTACCTGGGAAGCTGCACAGCCCAAGGCTTGCCTCCTCCCTGGCAGCAGCCTGCATTCAATGCTTAGTAGATAAAGGGGTACAAAATTTGGCCTTTTGCCTCAATTTGGAACATCTCCAAAGGGCTGTCCGGGCCAGGCACAGTCACTCATGCCTGTAATCCCAGCACTTCAGGACGCCGAGGTGAGGGGATCTCTTGGGTCCAGGAGTTCTAGGCCAACCTGGGCAAAACGGCAAGACCCCCATCTCTACAAAGTGATTAAAAATAAAAAAGCTGGGTGTGGTGGTGGCACATGCCTGTAGTTCCAGCTACTCAGAGAGGCTGAGGTAGGAGGATCTCTTGAGCCCAGGATTTTGAGGCTCCAGTGAGCTGTGACCATGGCACTGCATTCCGGTCTAGGTGACAGAGTGAGACCCCATCTTAAAACAAAAACAAAAACAAACAAACAAACAAACAAAAAACCTCAAAGGACTGCCCCGTTTCGCAGCTCCCTGTAGCATATAGGCTGAGGCCTCTGTTGTAACTGCACTGCAATTCAGCTTCTCTCTCTGTCCAATTCTGCTTCTTATTCCCCCACAGATGTTTCTAAGCACAGTACTAGATATGCCAGCACACAAATCTGCATCTCAGAATCTGTTTCACAGAAACCTAAAGACCCCAATAAATAACAGATTCAGGCAAGAATCACAATTGTGTCCCCCCAAAATTCAAAAGTTGACGTCCTAACCCCCAGTGCCCCAGAATGTGACTTGACGTGGAGGTAGGGTGTTTACAGAGGTAATCAAGTTAAAATGAGGTCATGGGCAGGCAAGGGTTGACTAGTCCAGTGTGATTGATGTCCTCATAGGAAGAGGAAATTTAGACACAGATATACACAAAAGGAAAACAATGTGAAGAGACATAGGGAGAAGCCAACCATCTATAAGCGAAGGAGAGAGGCCTGGAACAAATCCTTCCCTCACAGCCCTCAGAGGAAGCTCCCCACACCTGCATCTTGAACTTCTAGCCTCTGGAACTGTGTGACAACACATCTCTATTGCTTAAGCCACCCCATCCGTAGTACATTGTTATAGGAGCAAACTAATACAAATGCTAAAATCATTAGATGAAAGGATTTGGGAGAAGTATCACCTCTTAAATTGCTTCCTAACTGCAAAGGGGAAAATAGAATCTTACAACGGAAGCATCTGGAAGCCACCACTTAACCAAGAGATGAAGCTTAGCATCAGTAACACTGGAACGCACCTCCACCCTTCCTGTTGCACACTGGGGACAGTGGGTGGCACTAGTGTGCACTAGCTGCAGTGACAGTGCCTTATGGAACTAAGCAGTGTTTATTTATTACTATAAAAAGAGTCAAGCTGCACCTCTGTAGAAGATTTACTTTGCAGATGGTATGGCTGTCATATTCTTTTCCAGCAGGATTTATTCTTTCATTCTTAAATCTTTTGTGAAAAATCTTAAATAATTTAACTTTCCTTTATATCCTCTTAACAGTGTCAAATATGGAGTAGAAGGAATTTTTACCCCCAAAAAGGGCTCCATCTTGATCATCTAGTTATGATCAAAAAATTTTAAGTTTGTAGCCTCCTATGTCAGCACTAGAGTGGTTGGTTGTGAATATTAAAAGCTACTACTATTTTTACTCAGTAATAAGTAATTGTTATGTTTTTGATAAGATGGTATAGTTAGAAAAAATGTGAAAGATCACTTAATCCAAAGCTACTTACAAAAAGTATTCCCAGCTGGGCATGGTAGCTCACTCCTGTAATCCCAGCACTTTGGGAGACCAAGGCAGGAGGATCACCTGAGGTCAGGGGTTCGAGACCAGCCTGGCCAACGTGGTGAAACACTAGGTGTCTACTAAAAATGCAAAAATTAGCCAGGTGTGGTGGCAGGTGCCTCTAATCCCAGCTACTGAGGAGCTGAGGCAAGAGAATCACTTGAACCCGGGAGGCGGAGGTTGCAGTGAGCCGAAATTGCACCACTGCACTCCAGCATGGGTGACAAGAGCCAAACTCCATCTCAAAAAAAAAAAAGTATTCTCGGCTGGGCTCAGTAGCTCACGCATGTAATCCCAGCACTTTGGGAGGCCGAGGCGGACAAATCACCTGAGGTCAGAAGTTCAAGACCAGCTTCGCCAACGTAGTGAAACCCCGTCTCCACTACAAATACAAAAATTACAAAAACTAGCCGGGCATAGTGGCAGGTGCCCGTAATCTCAGCTACTCAGGAGGCTGAGGCAGGAGAATCGCTTGAACCTGGGAGGCAGAGGTTGTGGTGAGCCGAGATCGCGCCATTGCACTCCAGCCCGGGTGACAAGAGCGAAACTCTGTCTCAAAAAAAAAAAAAAAAAAAAGGATTCTCTCCTGCTGGTTTACCTTCACCTCAGAACTACAGGAACATTACATAGTGAAGAGGTGTCTGTAACATTTCTACCAGTTGTTTCAATAGCATATTGGTCCTGGCAATTTTTGGCACTAGGGGCTCTCTGTTCTTTGTGATGTCTTGTTTGTGACGTTTATTTATTTTTAAAAATAACTAAGTGGAATTCTAAATGTAGATGTGGATCCGCACCAAGAAGTTCTTTTCACAAATCCCTAAATGTCTGATTTCCATTCAAGTCTTTTAAAAGACTTGTTTTTTCTTATTGGGCAGCAGAGAACTTTTATTTTCTACTTTCTTGTATACCTAAGAAGAATGAACATGCATTTCAATTGACTGTACTATATACTTTTTTGCTAAAATTTTTTCTGTAAATAAAATTACCTTGTTCAGTTTTGTCGATTACCATAAGATGCGCTGATTATTTGCTTTCTGATATGTTTGATAAGCGTGATAAAGCTTAAAAATTAAAAAACTTTAAAGTGGAACAAGCAGGCAATTGACACCTTCTGATGATGAATAGGAAGCACACAGCATCACCCTTCAGGCATTCTTGCCAAATATGCTTAACTTCAACCATGCCGGTAAGACTCACCTCGCAGTTTACAGAAAACAGAGGGAAGGTAGAAACAATCACACAAAAATGTGGGACATTCTACAGAAAACTAAAACAAAAAGTCAATGTCAAGGGTGAGGGTCTGTTCCAAAGACAATGAAAACAAATAACAATCAAATACAATGTGAAAGCCTGACTAGCTCCTAGCTCAAAACAAAAAACAATTATAAAAGATAGTCTGAGGACACATGAAATCTGAATCTGGACAAGATATTAGATTAGGTTATGATAATATCCTTATTTTTAGGGGATGTGTATGGAATCATTTAGGTGTAAATGGCCACAACATCTGCAACTTACTTTCAAATGGCTGAGAAAAAAAGTTATAGGTAAATAAAGCAAATATGGCAAATGTTAATAATTATTGAATCTAGTGGTAGATATATGGGTGTTTACTGTATTATTCTTTAAAATTCTGTATGTTTGAAAATGTACATAATAAAAGTCTGGGGAAAACAAGTGTCTTTGACAGTTGATAACAAATACCGAATTTCATCTTTCTCTTTTTAGGTCTAACATTAACACCAACCACACAAACGTTAGAACCAGAACATAGATGGCCAGCATGAGAAAGTACGGGCTAAACCTTGCTTTAGGCCAGGCATGGTGGCTCACACCTGTAATCCCAGCAATTTGGGAGGCTGAGGCAGGAGGATTGCTGGAGCCCAGGAGTTTGAGACCAGCCTGGGCAACATGGTGAGACCCCCATCTTTAGAAAAAATAAATAAATAAAACAGACCTTGCTTTGTACAGACTTTCTAATACCAAACTGATTAAACTTAAATACATGCATACCTCCTCTTCCTGCCCACAAATAAGTAGGCCCTAGAGTAAGTGGGAAAGGCAATATCAAATTAAAAGAATAATATAAAAAGATATACATGGTGGCCGTGATTAGCTCTTCCCTAATGCTTTCTGAGTCTGTTTCCTCATCTGAAAAATGGGAAGAACAAAACAAAGCTGGAAGAACTGTTTTTAGGACTAAAGATGAGAAATGTCAAGTGCTTGGTAAGTGGTAGACAGGTGATAGATACCCTGAAAACTGCTGTCGTTGTGCCTGTGAGCAGTGGGGCTTGCTAGTGGCAGCAGGAAGATACGAACCTAGACATTTAGGCCCCAGGGCCTGTCCTCCACTGCCTCTGAGAGCAAATGGAACATGGCATTTTGTTTTTCCTAATGAACATAATAAAGGTAACTATTAATAAGAAACAATTTTCACTCTCTCCCATGCAAAGAAAATGGTAGACATATGTTGATTATATTTCAAATTGCACACTTAAAGACCAACAAGGTTATCAACCTGGATGATAACCAGGAAGAATTCAGGAAGGGTTTTCTGAAGGCCAAATACAACAAAAAAGAAAAACCAAGTCAGAATAGTTCCAGAGTAAGGAGTTTTCCCATAATCTATATCCTCGGAATATTTTGTTGCTTTAATAAATAACTCCCCTGAACTTCAGAAATAAACCTTTCCAGCTGATGTGAAATCTAGATGGTGTTAGGCTTTCCTAAGGGCTAATGGGGCTCATGGGTACAGGCTCCTGATGGTGATAATCAAACTTTGAATGTGAATTCAGTTCAAGCCCAAAGAAAGCTATCACTCTGTCACCACCGTCCACGCTAACTTTCAGAGGGTAAAAGCCATACTTGAGTTTTATTTTCATTTCACTATCAACCACTCACAGTACTATACCAGCACCTTCCACTTGTCTCACCAAACAAACAAAAATGACAGCTATGGGTAGCATGAGTGTACTTTTTCTTCCATATGTTACTGTCACAGCATTAGCTCACCCATGGACATTCTAAAACGTGATTCCTTTAGAAAATAAAGCCTGGACCGGGCGTGGTGGCTCATGCCTGTAATCCTAGCACTCTGGGAAGCTGAGGTGGGCAGATCATTTGAGACCAGGAGTTCGAGGCTAGCCTGGGCAACATGATGAAACCCTACCTCTACAAAAAATACAAAAATTAGCTGGGCCTGGTGGTATGTGCCTGTAGTCCCAGCTACCCAGAAGGCTGAGGTGGGAAGATCACTTAAACCTGGGAGGCAGAGGTTGCAGTGAGCCGAGACCATGCCACTGCACTGCAGCCTGGGTGATGGGAGTGAACTCTGTTTCAAAAAAAGAAAAAAAAAGAAAAAAGAAAAGAAAGCTCTGGGAAAGATGCATTTGATTTTGGCCCAATCCCATAGGAAGCAGGATTTCAACTGACAAGGTGAGTCATGGAACCTAAGTGAGGAAAAACCGCCTGAAGGGTCTCCACTGACAGGCCTCAGAGGCCGCAGAGGCTCTGTGTCAGCCCAGTGGAGACTTCATCCTTCCAGAAGGCTCTTAAACAGAGGAACACCCAACAACTTTTTGCTCCCACCATGTTTGTTCCTAAACAATAACCTTGGGTCAGGCATGGTGGCTCACACCTGTAATCCCAGCACTTTGGGAGGCCAAAGCAGGCAGATCACCTGAGGTCAGGAGTTCGAGACAGCCTGACCAACATGGAGAAACCCCATCTCTACTAAAAATACAAAATTAGCCGGGCGTGGTGGCTCGTGCCTGTAATCCCAGCTACTCGGGAGGCTGAGGCAGGAGAATCGCTTGAACCCGGGAGATGGAGGTTGTGGTGAGCCATGATTGTGCCATTGCACTCCAGCCTGGGCAACAACAGCGAAACTCTGTCTCAAAAAAAAAAAAAAAAAACAATTACCTTGGATTTTTACAGCAAGGTTAATCGGGACTTTATCAACTGGGCAAACTTGAGTTTGCCGGACACTGAGATTAAAAGACTAGTTATTTTCACTCTGCTTGTTAAGAAAGCAGCTGTTTTTTTTTTTTTAAATAGAGACCTGCACTAAGTAATATAATACACGTTGCAATCTAGAACACACACAAATATGACTGATATACAATTTTCATAAACAATATTTAATTCTTACTAAACTCAATGCACTGACACTTTCTATTTTATTATGCTTTAAATGTTGGTCACGATCCAAACTGAAGTGTTCTACACCCCCTGTGAGGCCACAGTGTGCAGTGTGAGACGCGCTGGACTGGATAAAGCCTATGCTTCTTGGCATGCTCCCATCTCATACACAGCCCTCTTCGTCCTGTTCCTTTCCCCTGGAGCTGTCACAAAGCTGTCCTAATTGGTCAAGAAAAGGAGACACATCTCCTTTCTCCTCTACATTTTCTAAGTTCTGAAGGGCACCTGTCAATTGCTGCCCAAGCTCATCCTGCAGAGTGGGGGCTGTTCCAGCTCTAATGGAATGAAGCTTCTTTTTTAAATAATCATGACAGGATAATATAGAGGTGTGCTACAGAAAAGTCCACCCCATCTCACATCTTGAGGTTCCTGGGTTCATATCTAAGTAAGGAGAGGTTTCCCCATCAGATTCTGAATTCATTTCTCCTCCACTCAGGTTCAAATGAAACCCTAAACTTGACTTTAGGATGTAAGGGGATTCGGGTGTAACAATGATATGCAGTGGACAAGGCCTTGGTCCTGTACAACTGCACCACCTGCATTGTCTCTGGAAAAGGTCACTAAGGGATGCCATCTGCATAGAACACTATACTAAGAGTATGTATGCTCCTTAAAGGTGTGTACCCTGGTCTACCCTTGTGGAGTTAAACATATTTCAAACATTCAGAAACACACTCATCCTCACCCTCTATGAGTATACAGGTCCCACTCCTGGAGTTGTATCACCAAATCAGAGGTTATGGTCCATCCATCAGTCCCAGCCTCCGTGAAGATTCTTCCTTTTGTCTCCCAGAGACAGCTGCTGCTCCATGCTTTGGTTCTCTTTTAGTCTTTTCAGAAGCAATGGTCTTTCTCCTTGGACACCCCCATTGACAGGCAGTCAAAACTGTTCTGACTTCATAGGTAAATCCCTTACAACTGGTTTCCTTGACTCTAGGAAAGTCTAGCTTCTCTTGGTCTCCCCTTTCTGGCCTTGAGACTTTTTGTTTCATTTTTGTTTTTTGAGACAGTGTCTCACTCTGTCGCCCAGACTGGAGTGCAGTGACCGCGATCTCGGTTCACTGCAACCTCCTCCTCTTGGATTCAAGCGATTCTCATGCCTCAGCCTACCGAGTAGCTGGGATTACAGGTACGCACCATCACACCCAGCTAATTTTTGTATTATTAGTAGAGACGGGGTTTCACCATGTTGGCCAGGCTGGTCTGGAACTCCTGACCTCAAGTGATCTGCCCGCCTCGGCCCTCCCAAAGTGTTGGGATTACAGGCATGAGCCACCATGCCCCACCTCTAGTCTTGAGCCTTTTAATGAGCAAGACCAGCTCTTGTCTCCTCTGTATGTTTTTCCTGTCTTAAGTTAGTCTATAGGTTAGCCTGGGTGACAGAGTGAAACCCTGTCTCTAAAAATAATAATAATAAATAATTTAAAAATAAAAATAAAGATGTCATAAAGGAGTGAAACTGCCTTTGCAAAGTTATGACAGTAAGAGAATTCTGACATAGCTGATTCCATCTTGCTTCTGACCTCCAAGCTACCCTTGGTCATTCCTGGCTACGTGTAGGCCAAGCTAAGTTTGGGAGGAATTTAGTTTCTAGTTTTACCTTAAAGCAAAGATGATAATAGCCCTTCCCAAAACTAAATTGCCTTTGTAAAACTAGTGAAAGGTCACAAGGTTAGGATTATGAGAGGGGCCTCAATTCTGATAAGATAGGCATAGTTTCTACAATCCCTTACTGCTCAGGAGTCATGTGGCCAGAGGTCACAAGATTGCTGACTTCCCCAATTGCTCCTATAGATAACATCACTATTGTAGAACCTAAGATTGGTTTTTTGAAATATCTTTCAGACTAACCCCATTCAGACTCGCTACTCATGACTCAACTGATCCTGTGGCCCCACCCAGAGGCAGACTCAGTGCAAAAGGACCATTTTCCACTCCCCTGTGATTTCATCCTTAACCAACAGCAGCACCCATTCCCTAGCCCCCGACCACTGCTCACCAAATTGCCCATAAAAACCCTAATCTCCAAGCCTTCAGGGAGACCAATGTGAATGACAATTCTGATTCTCCCATGTGGGCTACGCTCATGTCAATTAAACTCTTTCTCTACTGCAATGCCGTTGTCTCAGTGGATTGATTTTGTCTGTGCAGTGGGCAGGAAGAACCCACCAGCCAATTATAGGAGAATGAAGGGCTACAGGCTGTGGTGACTTTGTCTCTCTGAAGGAGTCTGGAGGGCTGCAAAGAAGATGTGATTTCTGACCTCGATTTTTAAAAAGGAATGGGAATTTTCCAGGCAGAGGAGAGGGAGAAAGGTATAGAAGTGTTTGGAGAAAGAACAGAAGTTCTGTGTGTGGCCAACCTCACCAATCCACCTCACAAGTTGAAGAAGTCTTCTTTGAGCCTCCAAAAGCTGAAATGGCAACACCAAAATTAAAGACTCCAAGTCACCAAGAGGCATTCCAAGGGTTTGTGGTAAACTACAAAGTCCGTGAAGACAAGTAGGTTGCTGAGAAGGCAGACGATTCATTTTGGGATGGAAGGGTCGGGAAGGGTTTCCCCAGAAGGAAGGAGGGGCTGTACCTATGGTGGTGAGGAGGGCCAAGGACTTCTGGAGGAGGAGGGAGGCTGGCCTGGAGCTAGAGGTTGGGCTGGTGAGGATTATAGTCAGCGATGCTTTCTTGTGTTTACACCTTGACTGATAAGCTCAACTATAAGCTTCCTGAGAGCAGCACTCAGCTCTGGATTTCACCCTCCCCCCGGCATCTCCCAGCACACAGCTCTGCATCCCATAGGTCTAACCAAATACAAGTTTGTCAGTGGAATAGTAAATATTTTTTGAATTGACGGAAGGGGGGAAAGAGATATGTTTAAGAGAAAGAATTTTAAACATATCTTCTTGAACATGAAGGGAGCAGAACATGCTACTCCAAAATATGCCTTTTTAGGATAAAGATTATTTTGAGCTGAAGGCAATTACACAGCAGCAGATACAAAAGAGCTCTCTGCCCTCCCCCTATTTACCTAAAAGCAGAACATAAATCTGTAAATGTGTCTCTCCTCCCCTCTCTACCAGGAAGGACAGAAGTGAATCACCAGAGATAACTCTAGACCCTTACCAGCCCGGAGAGGGCACCAGAGGAGTCTATACAACCAACCTTCCCAATTAGCACTTATCTTCCATTAGCTCCCCCACTATTTACCTTCCCACAACTTGCTGCCTTAGAAACTCAAAGTCCTTTTCCTTTGTCTTTGTCATCTCTCTAAAACTTTACTATTCTTTTAAGATGCTATATAAGCCAAGGTGTAACCATCCCTTTGAGTTACTCATCTCTGAGTGCCCCCATGTGTATTTGTGATGTGCATGTTAATAAACTTGTTTATGTTTCTCTTGCTAATCTGTCTTTTGTCAATCTAATTTACAGGACCCCAGCTGAGGAACCTAGGAGAATAAGGGGGAAAATATATGTATTATATATTTTTATATAATACATATATTATATTATATATAATATTTAAAAACATATAATATATTATACATTTATATATATAGTTATATATACTATATATAAATGTATAATATATATATTTTTTGAGGCAGAGTCTCGCTCTGTCACCCAGCTGGAGTCCAGTGGCACGATCTTGGCTCCCTGCAACCTCCGCTTCCCGGGTTCAAGCAATTCTCCTGCCTCAGCCTCCCAGGTAGCTGGGATTACAGGCGCATGCCACTATGCCTGGCTAATTTTTTGTATTTTTAGTAGAAACGGGGTTTCACCGTGTTAGCCAAGATGGTCTTGATCTCCTGACATCATGATCCGCCCACCTTGGCCTCCCAAAGGAAAATATATGTATTTTTTTCCCTTCTTTTTTTTTTTTTTTTTTTAGAAGGAGTCTCACTCTGTTGCCCAGGCTGGAGTGCAGTGGCGGGATCTTGGCTCACTGCATGCTCTGCCTCCCGGGTTCACACCATTCTCCTGCCTCAGCCTCCCGAGTAGCTGGGACTACAGGCACCCACCACCACGCCCGGCTAATTTTTTGTATTTTAGTAGAGACGGGGTTTCACCATGTTAGCCAAGATGGTCTCGGTCTCCTGACCTCGTAATCCGCTTGCCTCGGCCTCCCAAAGTGCTGGGATTACAGGCGTGAGCCACAGCGCCCAGCTGTATTTTTTCGTCTTCTATAAACACAAAGAGCTCACTCTCTTGAACGACTGCTTCTTCCAGGGAAGTCTCCAATCAAGAGCTGACAGTCTCAAAACAAGTCGAAACTTCCTGCTTGGGGTACACAGGAAACCCCCAGACCCATCAACAACCATTCGGAAATGTACCACCCCATTATGATATTTTAGTTTTTTTCAATTCCTTTTTTCATTTCCAATCTGGGACTGACATACAAAGGAACAACAAAGTGTCATTCTTGAGAACGGAAAGCTGGGGGTAGGGGCAGAGAGGATACAGCAGAACTCTCCCTGGTGACTTCTCCTGGTAGCCAGCTGGTTGTAGCTGGAAGCAGCAATTATTTTGCTTTTGTCAGGAATCCAAGGTACGGAACACAGCTGCTGGGTCAAGGCCTGGCACAGATCCAGCCTGGCTAGGACAGCCTTGGGGAGCCCATCGGGCCTGTGAACACAGAGCAGACCACTTGAAGAGAGCACTGGCTTCCTCTCCTCTCTCCCTACTCCAAGGGTAACTTTCTCTGCAGCCTTCCTGCCTCGGGGCAATGAGACTTGCTGTGAGCCACTCCAGGACCAGACTTGGGCTGGGAGACCCCGGGGAAACAGCCACCATCATAGTTGCAGCAAGTAAGAGCATAAACCAGATCCAGGGTGCAAAATGCCCTGGGCTGGAATTCACATCCCAGTTCTGCTCTTGCAGCCTAAAAGAAGCAGAACCCTTATTTCGCAGAGTATCTGCATCCCACACAGAGCTTGCCCAGGTGCTCAGAGGCAGCGCAGTTCTTATGAGGATGGATTCTAGAGTTTAGGGCCCTGGATGGGAAGTCCCATCACACCCCACCCACTGAGGCAGCAAGTGAGCTGCAGAGAATTCAGACCTCTGAAGTCAGCAGTCACACAAATACTGAACCCCAGACCTGCTCCCCATTCCCTTCCGTCCCCAGAGGTAGTAAAGTGACTGGAACTCCTACTTTTCTCTCATTTATACACTATTACCTTTTACTTTGTGAAAGGCAAGCTGTCATCTGTCTGATTAAGATCAGGGTGCCTGCTGCCTTTGCTTCTTACAACCTCACAATTCCAACCATGAATGTGACAATTAGGGCCCCTTTCTCTCTTCTCCCCACTTTCCTCCATTACCTCCATCTTTGCTCAAAGGTCATTATCTTTCAGGGAGGAAGATTCTTTTCTCTACTTTTCTATTACATTTTTTTTTCTTTTTTGAGACGGAGTCTTGCTCTGTCACCCAGGCTGGAGTGCAGTGGTGTGATCTCAGCTCACTGCAACCTCTGCCTCCCGAGTTCAAGCGATTCTCCTGCCTCAGCCTCCCGAGTAGCTCAGACTACAGCTACTCGTCTGGCTAATTTTTGTATGTTTTTAGACAGGGTTTCACCAAGTAGGCCAAACCTGTCTCGAACTCCCGACCTCAAGTGATCCGCCTACCTTGGCCTCCCAAAGTGCTTGGATTACAGGCACGAGCCACCACGCCTGGCCTCCTATTACTTTCAAAATCATCTGCTGTCTTTATTCATGGATGCACTCACTCAGGTGTGTTTCTGTGCATACTACGCATTCAACACTTGCTAACTTCTGTCTTTTCACTTGCTTGCATCTCCCTCTCGTGGAAACAGGCCTACCCATCACATCAGATCCTGCTGAAAGCAGGCGTCCTGTCCAAGGTTGGTTACCACCTTGTGCCTTGAGTTGCTGGGGACAGGCTCCGGCTACCTCCCACCCTGAGGTAGAATAAGCGGGTTGGGTAATAAATGAATACAAATTACAGTATTCATTGAAAGGAGTCAATGAGAGGTTCTGGGGAAGCTCCTTTCACTGGTTATTGATAGCCATGCAAGCTGGCCACTCTGGGTACTAAAGACAGAAAGTGAAAATAACCCAGGGACAGAGCTCAGGGAAAGAAACGGAATGTGGGGTGCTAAGAAAGGAAGAACTTCCAGATCCTCCACCTCAGTGGTTCTCAAAGTGTGATTCCCAGGCAGGAAGCATTGGCACCACCTGGAACTTGCTAGAAATGTTATTTTTGTCACTACCAGTCTAGTAGAAAGAGGAGGTGGAGTGGTTCCCAAATTAATGATGATGCTGATGATAATGGCTAACATTCATGGACCAGCCACTGTCCTAGGGACTTTATTAACACAGTTAATCATCACAACAACCCTATGAGGGGTTAAGCGCTATTCATATTCCTGGAATTTTATGAACTAGGGAACTGAGAAGCAAAGAGGTTAAGTAACTGGGCGTACTCACAGAGTAAATGACAGGACGACAGGAAAACAGGTCAGGCTCTCCACGCACACGCCCCACACACCACCAGCATGCACTCCCACACCTCACTCTTCACTCTAGCTTTGGTCTCTTTCACATCAGCCCCCTCCCCAGAGCACAGGCAAGCTAGCTCTGGTGCCCTGTTACGATGCACAGAGCACAGTGGCCCACAGCCTGCACTCTGGGCCAACTGCTTGGGTGTGAAGCTTGCTTCTCCCATGTAGTGAGCTTGGAGAAGTTACCCTCTCTGCCTATTTCATTGGCTGTAAAATGAGGATAATAGCTGTGCCCACCTACCTCATAGGGTGGTTGTGAAGATTAAATAGGTTAATATGCATAAGTGTGCCTGATACACATCATGTCCCCAATAAATATTACCTTATTATCTTGAAGCCTTCTAATGTGTGGAGGGGGAAAAAGAAAAATATGGGAAAGAGAAGAGAGGGAAGAAAGAATTTGGAAACAAGAGCCTGAGAATTCCGTAACAATTTCTCCAGTAAAAATTCACAAGGGTCCCTGCGCCATTCTCGCCTCTGCTAGGGAAGCACATGCTCATGAAGCCTCTGTACGTGCCTGAATGGGGCCATGGGAATCTCCCCACTCTGGGTCTCGGGAACATGGTTGATGAAAGCAGATGGTGGTGACTCAGGCCCACCACCCTCTGACTCAGAACTGCCCGATGTAAGCAGAAATCTATGTCAAAGTACAGAGACTCAGGTGTCCTTGCTGCTGCAAAGAGGCAAATCAGGGTGAGACCTACAAGATTTAGTGCCCTGCTTACACAGGTGCAAGGACAAAAAGAAAAATGGCCACTATTACATACAATGAAGGCTGTGTCTAAAGCCTTAAGAACGTCTAGCTACTTGGAGGAAATGTGAGACTATATTTTATTAAGATTACTGTTGCTGTTAGAGGTAGATAACACAGCAAAAATAACCATCAGAGAATGCCAAGCTTATGGGGCAAGAAGGATCAGACCAGAAGAAGGAAGCCGAAGGATGCAGAAATGTGGCACTGGCTTGATGAAGGAGGCAAATGCTTACTAGTGGAAAGGAGTCAATGCTTTCCCTCTTTCCTGTATCCCATACTGGCCTCCCTCACTTCCAAAGAAACCCAAACCAAACAAAACAATCCCAGCATCAGATCCAAGTAGGTAAAGCTCTGTCATCGGATGAGCCAACCAGACAGTTAACCCAACATGACTTTCTCCGACATCCACTCAAAGCTCTTGGTAATCACACTTTTCCTCTACGTATAATCGA
Source organism: Homo sapiens (assembly GCF_000001405.40). Classification (NCBI taxonomy): domain Eukaryota; kingdom Metazoa; phylum Chordata; class Mammalia; order Primates; family Hominidae; genus Homo; species Homo sapiens. The sequence goes on from NC_000004.12 coordinate 82,734,441, forward strand.
GGAAATTTGTGCAGCTCCGAGATGCAGTTTTTGTGCTATTCTAGCTTGTGTTTCAGATCTGCACAGCTGTGAGAAACCACATAAAGGAGATGTAAGGGTTTACCTTTTTTCTGTCCTTGATGTTTAACAATATATATTGCAGTCTTTAAAATTGTGCTTTTAACCAATTTTGTAATGAGAGATAAATACAAAACATCAAAGCAACAGAAAAATCAAATTAACTTCTCATCCTGCCATGTAACAAATTATCTCTTTTTAGCTGTATTGTTGCTTGGGCTTTTTTTTTAAAACAAGCCTATAGTCAATATTTATAAAGTTGAGCTCAATTTTTTTTTTTTTTTTGAGACAGGGTCTCACTTTATTGCCCAGGCTGGAGTGCAGTGGCACGTTCTCGGCTCACTGCAACCTCTGCCTCCCGGGCTCAAGCAATTCTTGTGCCTCAGCCTCCCAGAGTGCTGGGATTACAGGTGTGTGCCACCATGCCCAGCTAATTTTTTGTACTTTTTTTAGTAGAGATGGGGTTTCATCATGTTGCCCAGGCTGGTCTCGAACTCCTGAGCTCAGGCAATCTGCCCACCTCAGCCTCCCAAAGTGCTGGGATTACAGGTGTGAGCCACCACGCCCAGCCTGAGCTCAACAATTTTTCATTTAGCATTATAGCAGGTCCTCAAAAAAGTGTCATTTTGATCAACATGGTTTTGTTACAATGTTGATGAGATTTTTGAAAATTGATTCCCAGCCGAGGCCACTGTCTGTGCGGTTTGCAAGTTCTCCCCATGTCTGTATGGGTTTTCTCTGGGTACTCTGGTTTCCTCCCACATCCCAAAGATGTGTGTTGTACATTAGGTTGATTGGCGTGTCTACACGGTCCAGATCTGAATGACTGTGTGTGTGTGAATGTGTGGGCCCTATGGTGGGATGGTGTCCTGTCCAAGGTTGGGTACCACCTTGTGCCTTGAGTTGCTGGGGATAGGCTCTGGCTACCTCCCACCCTGAAGTGCAATAAGCGGGTTGGGTAATAAATGGATACAAATTACAGTAAAATAAAAATTTGTAAAGTAGTGAATAATCCTACAGATACACGACAATAAACGACGCAGTGCGAAAGCGCTCAAGGAGCCGCCACATTCGTTACTGCTCGTTTTTCAACTGCATGGTGGAAGGGGGGGCTCCTGACAATTTTCTCATTGCAAACACTTATTCCTTGACTTACCCACCACATGACTGCTGTCACTCACCGATTCACCAAAGACTGGGTAAAAAATTATCTTACTTGTTTTTATTACCGAAATGCATGTATAGCTCACAGTTATTTCCATTTTTAATAGAAGTGTTTTGGGTCTTAATCTAGAAATGTGGTGATGTTTCCTTGACTAGAAATATGTCGTAGGAATTTAGTTCTGTATTCATATCAATTAGCCCGTGGTTAAACTGGTTTCATTATCCATCGTTTCACTTAAAGTCACAGTTTCCAAGAACTTGTCAATGATGTTAAGTGAGGACTTACTGTATTTTATATCAGCCTTTCTATTTGTTTTTATAACACACAAATTTATTATTCTTGGCCACGCACAGTGGCTCAGGCCTGCAATTCCAGCACTTTAGGAGACCAAGGTGGGCAGATCACTTGATCCCAGGAGTTCGAGACCAGCCTGGGCAACATAGCGAAACACCATCTCTACAAAAAGTATTAAAAAATTAGCAGGGTGTGGTGGCATGTGCCTGTAGTCCCAGCTACTCTGGAGGCTGAGGTGGGACGATCACTTGAGCCCAGGAGGCAGGAGTTGCAGTGAGACAAGATTGTGTCACTGCATCCAGCCTGGGTGACAGAGCAAGACCCTGTCTAAGAAAAAACAAAACAAAACAAAAAAAAAACCATTATTCTCAGCCAGGCGCAGTGGCTCACATCTGTAATCCCAGCACTTTGAGAGGCTGAGGCAGGTGGATCAGCCGAGGTCAGGAGTTCGAGACCAGCCTGGCCAACATGGTGAAACCTGTCTCTACTAAAAATACAAAAATTAGCCAGGCGTGGTGGCAGCTGCCTGTAATCCCAGCTACTCAGGAGGCTGAGGCAGGAGAATCACTTGAACCCAGGAGGCAGAGGTTGCAGTGAGCCCAGATCGCGCCATTGCACTCCAGTCTGGGGGACAAGAGTGAGACTTTGCCTCAAAAAAAAAAAATCATTCTTAATAGTAATATTATATTTCATTTTACAACATACTTTTGGGGTTTCTTTTTTTCTGAGACAGGGTCTTGCTCTGTTGCCCAGGCTGGAGTGCAGTGATGCCCTCAACTCACTGTGGCCTCGACCTTCTGGGCTCAAGAGATCTTCCCACCTTAACCTCCTGAGTAGCTGGAACTACAGATGCATGCCACCATGCCCAGCTAATTTTTTAAAAAAATTTTGTAGACACGGGGTCTTGCCATGTTGCCCAGGCTAGTCTCGAACTCTTGGGCTCAAGTGATCCTCCCACCTCAGCCTTTCAAAGTGTTGGGATTACAGGTGTAAGCCACCGTGCCAGACCATAGTTTGTTTTTAATTTTTTAAAATAATTTTTAGGGTTTTTTTTCCTATTTTTCTTTCTTTGTTTCTCCAGGATGTAGTCTCAAACATATACTAGCTCAAAGGATATGATGTTCCATGGTTTACTACACTTCGCCATGTTGCTTTCCAGAAATATTGTACTAATTTATGTTTGTATGAGGGTATAACTTTCTCAAAAGCCTTGCCAGACTTTGATTTTGTAATTATAATTTGCCAGTTTAACGGCATTGCATGGTTTTGTGTTTTAACTTCTTATAATTACTAAGGAGGCTGAGTCCTCTTCCAAGGATTTGTTTTCTAGTTGTAATGCCTCTTGTGTGAACATGTTCAGATTTTTTTTTGACTGTTAATGCAGTAGAAATAGTATTGCACTTGTGGATTTAATTCCATTCTCTAGATATTCTGGATGTTAATTTTTTTCATTCATTCTATTTATCACAATTTTCCCTCTAAGTCACTTTGACTAAAGAAAGTTTTGCTCAATGGATGCAGCTCCCACTCAGGCAGATCATCAATTCAGCCAAGGTTCCTGCTGCCCCATTTTCTGGTGGCTGCACACTGTAATCCCCTCATAAATTTTCCTGAAGACAGCCTGATTTTTAAGTTCCCCAGCTCCCTAATGAACTGTATCCCAATTTGTCAAATATACCCAGCAATTATTCAATGTTATATCATGTGCTACTGGAAAAAAATCAGGGATACTATTTTCATGCTTGCCTTTCTGGCCATCTCTGATTTATATTGTGCCTTTCTATTAAGGCAGAGTTTCATGTCGTGATCTGAAAGCATTTTACAACCACTGGATCAAACTCTGAAAAGAGAAGAAACCAAAGTCAAGTTGCTATCAATGGCACAATGAGGTAGGAAGGCTGGGGGGCAAAAAAGGTCATGGATAAGATTAAAGAAATCTAAACAAAACTTAAGTATTTGAAACACTTTACAGATTGGACCTGAGGTCAATCTAATTAGCTAAAAAAAAAAAAATCCACTATCTAGAACTATATCTACTTTTTGCACGCATCACCCAAATTGTAAAACAACAACAAAAAATAAGAGCTGTACAAAATACTTAATAAATGTATTCTGTAAGCATCACACAAAATACTTGATAAAAAAAGAACCAAAAGATTTCTACCTGAAAAAAAGTTATCACGGCCGGGCCCAGTGGCTCATGCCTGTAGTCCCAGCACTTTGGGAGGCCTAGGCGGGCGGATCACGAGGTCAAGAGACGGAGACTGACCATCCTGGCCAACATGGTGAAACCCTGTCGCTACTAAAAATACAAAATTAGCTGGGTGTGGTGGCGTGCGTCTGTGGTCCCAGCTACTCGGGAGACTGAGGCAGGAAAATCGCTTGAACCCAGGAGGCAGACGTTGCAGTGAGCCGAGATCGTGCCACTGCACTCCAGCCTGGCAACAGAGTGAGACTCCGTTTAAAAAAAAAGTTATCACTGTCTGTTTCATGGCTTTTGATTATTTATTTTTTTGCCTATAAGAAAGATCCCCAGTTGGGGAAGAACACATCCCAGCACACTTCCTCTCTTTCTCAATTCTTTCTTACTTGCCAGCTTAGACTAAAAGCCACTCACCCATTCCTTCCACCCTTCCATACCTACTCTTCACTCCTTCACCTTAGCCAACTCCTGGCCACAACTATGGTCTCTGGAGAGGATCCTGGTAGACCATAGAGAAGCTACACCCAACAGCTACATATCCAACTGGTGAGAGGGAACATTTCTCCACTGTAGTAGATACAACTACATAGCAGTTCCAAGTTATAGATGCCAAATGGCTCCCATTATTATTACAGTTGGCACTTGTTGAGTACTTAGGATACGCTGTGACCCTAAAAAGCACTGCCTATGTCTTATCTCATTTAATCTTCACCAACCCCATTTTACAGATGAGGCAAAATGGAGTTTAGAAATTTGGCCAAGATCACCCAGCTAGTAATAACAGAGGTGGGGACTGACACTACAACATATGGCCTCTCAGAGGATGGGCAAATGTTTTGATGATTTGTAGCAAACTGTAATTTTTTCCCCAAGTGTGCTATTTTTAAATATAATCACTAAAAAATAATAATCTTACCCCTACTAGTTGCGGGTTGACTGTGACTTTGGGGCCAAATGCAAAAAGCCTCAATCTGCGATTTCCCAGGCAAATAGCACTAAGTACCTGTTCTTGTCCTTGCTGATTCTTCTACATGCAAATCATTTCCCTCTCAACACTGGTAAGACATTTGTAGTCATGCCAGGGGAAGGCAGTGGGGATGTGAAAGGTGGAGGTCCTGGCCTGGAAGTGGAGAGGGCTCTATTTTAGCTCCATTTCCACCACAAACTCAACTCTCGGGATCATGGGTTCCTCACGAGCGAATGGAAACCAGTGGATGATACGGTTTCTAACATCCCCTCCAGCTTTAAATTTCCAGCAATTTATGAAGCCTGGTAATGCCCACGTACTGGTGCCAGCAGTGTGGGTGCAGCACCCCCTGCCGGTGGCCTCCCCGCACTGCCCTGGAGGGAGGTCGTGGCTGGTAGAGCCACACTCCGCCTGCTGGTTGTGTGCGGTGGTGGCCCAGGCCAGGGCACAGGCATTCACGCACACAAAACTCACCCCAACGATGCTCTGAAGTATCTATTGCCATGTGTGTGCTGAAAGAAATGCACTATGATTCAGATCGGCCAAGGCTTGGAAGAGGACAAGAGGATTACAGGGTAATTTAGGAAGCACGTAGAGTTAGACGCAGCTGGACAGGCTTCTGCTTAGCCATGCTGATCGTGAAAAGCCACGATGAAAACTTGATAATTTTTTTAGCACAGCATATTCTCTTAAAGAGAGGCATATATCTGTTCTCTGAAAGTAGAAAATAAATTCTTCCATGGACTTGATGTGTTTAAAATCTAAGGCGAGTGCAGGTCCCGACCCCTCTCCATCCCCACCGCTTGCTTATCTGCTTCAACAATCTGCAGCCTGAGCCTGCTCACCTGTGTCGGCTCAACACCAGCCCAGCCACTTCATGTCTCAGCAATCTGACCTGCCCTTCAAATATCACCAGCCTCCAATGCCATTCCTGCTGGGGGCATCTGATGGGAAACACAGGTCCTTTCAACTTAAACTCGAGATAAGCACACATAAAGCATCTACCCCCTAAGGACTTTAGCAATTATTTTTAAAATGAAAAACCTGAGCTTTGAATGTAGCGCCCAAAGTAGAGCGGAGACATGGAGGAAATAATCAACTTGATTCCCTCTTCTGTCATTCACCTCTTCCAGAAACCTGGAACCTGAAGGCGAGGTTGTTTTGCCAGCACCCAGCACCTCGCCTTGCTGTTGATCACCTTCCCTAGGAGCACAAAAGTCAGAGGGGAGAAAGGATGGGAGTGCAAGGTTTGTCCACTGGGGCAGGTGGACGGGGAGGATCTCAGGCTGGGTTTGGGTATTATGGAGCCAGTATCAGGCTAACATCTCATAGTGTGGCTTTAGCCAGGCCCCAAGGGGGAATCCAATCTATAGTGAAGTTCATTTTCACAATAAGCTTTGGAGGGTATCATTCATCCAACTCAGACAGACATATTGACTTACCGATAACTTCATTAATGAAAGCACCTGCCTGGCCTGGAACCCTATTCTCTAAACCAAGGACTCCCAGTTCCCAATGTGTGGTCTATCCCCTGCAGTGCTTTTCCAAGGTCCGCCACAGTTGGCTCTACTTTCTCTCCTCCCTCCTCTCAACTTCTGAATCTTTCTTTTCTCTTCCTTCTACCCTTCCAAATGTAAGCAAAATGTAAACCAATGTAGAGATAACTTTTAATTCTTCCCCTAATCCTTTACCCCAAATCTGCTCAGAAAAAGTCTAGAACCAGAACTGACAGAGGCAGAATTCTGTGTTAGAAACTATAGGGGAGGGTGAAAGACTAAGACTAAGGTGGAGTCTCTTTTCCCAATTCTTTTTTTTTTTTTTCTTTTGAGACAGGGTCTCGCTCTGTCACCCAGGCTGGAGTGCAGTGGTGCAATCACAGCTCACTGCAGCCTCTGCCTTCTAGGCCCCAGGCCCAAGTGATCCTCCCACCTCAGCCTCCCAAGTAGCTGGGACTACAGGCGTGTGCCAGCTAATTTTTTTTTTTTTTTTTTTCGTAGAGACAGAGTTTTGCCATGTTGCCTAGGCTGGTCTCAAACTCCTGGGCCCAAGCAATCTGCCCGCCTCAGCTCCCAAAGTGCTGGGATTACAGGCATGAACCACTGCGCCCAGCCTCTTTTCCCACTTCTTATATCTAGGCTGGTCTTGTGGTTTTGTTTGGTCAATAGAATGTATGAAAGTGATGCTGTGTGACTTTCAGAGCCTGGGCCTTGAGAGGCCTTGGAGCTTGCACTTTGGTCCCTCGAAACACTGCCATGCTTGTTCTGAAAGGAAACCATTGTCACCTACCAGGGAATGAGAAGCCATGAGACAGAAAACCAAGGCGCCCAACCAACAGTCAGTGCCAACCACCAGCTGTGTGAGTGACGGCAGCTGCATGAGCCAGCCCAGGTGAGACCAGCAGAGGAACTGACCAGCCAGCAAAGAATCATGAGAAATAGTCTATCGATGTTGTTTTAAACCACTCCATTTCTGGCTGGTAGGCAGCAATAGAGAACTAAAACACACACTTTTGCCTTTGTCTCTATTGTTTATGGAATGAGATATTAGAATAGGGCTCTTTCTGCCTCCATTTTAATTGAGGCACCAATATGATAGATATCAGATACCTACATGACTGTGAAACAGACCCCCTTACACAGAATTCACAAAGGAAATTATTGAGACCTGGCTCCGTCACTCTTGGATGCCTCCTCCAGATCAAGGATATGAAAAGGGGTCAGAGTGGGCGGGGGGGGGGAGTGGGCAGATAGGTGAAGAGCTTTTGTTGGGGGAGCTGTTAATGAGCTGTAGTGTCCCCCTTAAAATCCCCCAAAGAAAGATGGGCATGCCTGTAGTCCCAGCGACTCAGGAGGCTGAGGCAGGAAAATGGCGTGAAACCGGGAGGTGGAGCTTGCAGTGAGCCGAGATCGCACCACTGCACTCCAGCCTGGATGACAGAAGAGAGTCCGTCTCAAAAAAAAAAAAAAAAGAAAGATGGGCAAGAGTTGTATCTTCTTCATTCCAAGCCCAGTCAGGCAGCTTGTGTGGACCACTTGGGGAGCTTTAAAGTAGTTTCACTACAGCTGGAACCAGCAGACATTCAGGTCCCAGAGGCATGCCTGTGACACCCAGAGTGGGCCATGACAGCAGGCTAGAGGGGCATGCAGGAGCTAGTCTGCCTTTCTGGGTTTTCCTGAGTAGAGTGTGCCCTGGGGACCAAACGTGGCCACTCAGAAGAGAGAGCTGGTGTGAGGTCTGACCGGGTCCTGTCTCACAGGGCCACCTACTGGAGAGGCAGAGAGACCCCAGCAGCAAGAAACTAGAGGTGGGCACAGGATTGCTGGGGTCTTAGAATAAATAAATCCCCAGATAACACCTGAAATAAAGATGCACCTTTCTGGCCGGGCATGGTGCCTCACACCTGTAATCCCAGCACTTTGGGAGGCCGAGGTGGGTGGATCACTTGAGGCCAGGAGTTCAAGACCAGCCTGGCCAACATGGCAAAACTCCGTTTCTACTAAAAATACAAAAATTAGCTGGGCATGGTGGCTCATGCCTGTAATCCCAGCTACTCAGGTGGCTGAGGCATGAGAATCGCTTGAACCTGAGAGGTGGAGGTTGCCGTGAGCTGAGATTGTGCCACTGCACTCCAGTGAGATTCTGTCTCCAAAAAAACAATGCATCTTTATATGTCCAGACAATTACAGGAGAGAGCTCACCAATGATGCGGGTCTCTGAAGAGCCCACCACAATGTCCAACATGTCAAACACTGGCCAGGCTCAGGGAGTGGAAAGCAACCTTTCCAATTCCCTTATCCCTAACTCCCCAATTACCCACCCAGTCCTGGGGATTCAGAAACTAGCTAGCACACTGAGAATGTGTAAGGAGAGAAAGACGCGTAGACAGAGAGAAGCTACAGAGAGGCTCCCACCTAGCCCCCAGCCCTTTCCACTGAGACTCCCAGTTGGATCCAGGCCTGAGATGAGAAAGGGGATGATAAACATTAAATCAAGTTCAAAGGTTCGATTATCAGCTTGGGCTGGTCATTCTAATTTCTGAATTGAGACAGAGCTTGTAACTTAGAGTGACAGGAGGATAGTCTATTTCCTAAAAATTAGTTGAGCCAGGCTCAGTGGCTCACACCTGCAATCCCAGCACTTTGGGAGGCCGAGGTGGGAGGACTGCTTGAAGTCAGGAATTCAAGACCAGCCTGGGCAACACAGTGAGATGCCCGTATCTACAAAAAATAAAAAACAAAAATTAGTGGGGTATAGTGGCTCATACCTGTAGTCCCAGCTACTCAGGAGGGTGAGGCAGGAGGATCTCTTGAGCCCAGGAGGTCAAGGCTGCAGTGAACTGTGATTATGCCACTGCACTTCAGCCTATTAAAGTATAAAAGGGCAACAGGAAAAAAGTTATATATATATATTTTTTAATTTTTTTTAGATATGCCACCCAGGCTGGAGTGCAGTCGTGCAATCACGGGCTCACCGCAACTTCTACCTCCCAGGCTTGAGCGACCCTCCCACCTCAGCCTCCCAAGTAGCTGGGACTACAGGCACGTGCCACCATGCCTGGCTAATTTTTAATTTTTATGTAGAGACAGGGTCTCACTATGTTGCCCAGGCTAGTCTTGAACTCCTAGCCTCAAGCAATCCCCCCCGCCTTGGTCTCCCAAAGTGCTGAGATTACAGGCATGACCACACCCGGCCACTAACTTCTTTGTTGTTGTTGTCACTGTTGAGACAAGGTCTGGCTCTATGACCCACGCTGGGTTGCAGTGGCACAATCTCGGCTCACTGCAACCCTCCCAGGTTCAAGCCATCTTTCCACTTCAGCCTCCTGAGTAGCTGGGACTACAGGCACGCACCACCACACCTGGATAATTTTTCTATTTTTAGTAAAGATGGGGTCTCTCCATGTTGCCCAGGCTGGTCTCAAAGTTCTAAGCTCAACAGATCCGCCTGCCTCAGCCTCCCAAATTGCTGGGATTACAGGTGTGAGCCATGGCGCCTGGCTGAAAAAAGTTATCTCTTGATTACATCAATAATTGTATTTGTTGACCATGATAGTTACATTTATTTTGTCTGTTTACAATTTCTCCCAAATATGTTTTAAAAGACAAAACAAAATGTTTTGATCATGCAGTCTGTTCCCCAGACGGTTACCCATATTTCTTTTTACTTATATTATCCTCCCACTCATACAAACTAGGAGGGTTTAACAACTTCTCCAATCACCTGATTACATTTACTCAGGTACAAAAAGTCCCTAACTGCTCATCATTTAGGACACAGCAGTTACTAATGCATTAAAGTTGGAAATAGGTTTCCCCAGGCACTTAAGGCCTTGGCAAGCTGTATCCCCACGACCGTGGGAAGAGGTCAGTACAGGTATCTGTTGGCTTAAAGCCAGTCTCACTTGTCTGGAATGCCCAACTTCATGCTGGCTGCCTGCCTAAGGGCTTTCAAAGACTGAAATCTGTAGGTGAGTTTTCAGACTTCATGCCGGGAAGTTGAAATCTAATAGAGAAGATGGGTTGGCAGAACTTATGTCTGAACTTCCAGCAAGTAAATTTTTATAAATAAAAGATGTAATTAATTATTTAGCATCAATAACATGCTTGAAGAATTTAGGTATCACTTGCTAGTCTTCGAGAAGTTATTGCATAATCATAGAGATGCATAATGCATGAAGACATGGCCCCACTAGATACCATCTTAGGAGAGAGACTGGGTGGAGCGAGAGGGAAAGGGATTGCATTTCAATCAATTATTTGGAGGTGATGTGTTGCATTTATTCATGCAGTATAATAAAGCTGAGGTGGGAAAGTAACATCATTTTCTTTTCTGTAGAAAGATACGTGAGTAAATGAGGACAGGGAGAAAAAACAGGGGTATTGAGCCCTATTTCTGGCTATGGAAAAAGTGCTAAGTGCTGTAGTCATTTAAATCATGTTCCCACAGTCAGTCCTCAGGGCTAGGATTCACCACCCCAGGAAGAAATCTTGCAAGCTATCCAACAAAAGATGTCACAGGGTGGACCTTGACAAAAATCTTCAAGGTCCTCACAGTCCTCAGCCTCGCTGGCACTGATGTCTGATCCGGTGACTACATTTCTCAAGAACCCATTTCTTGGGGACAGATTCACATTATCTAGCCTCACAGCCTAAACCAGAGAGATGGTTTTCTAATTCATGGGGAGACTCAAAAGTCCACGTAACCAATACATTATTTCCCTGCAGGCAGACCTCAGCGGGAGGCCAAATCCTAAGCAGTGACTTGCTGGGTGAGCACGGCTCAGAACAAGGAGAGACATGAATGGAATGTTTCAGGCACCAGGCAAAGGCAGGCTGATGTGTCCATCTCACAACAGAGAGGGTCTAACCCAATGTTTGTTTGTTTTTTCCCGACTTTAAGTTCAGGGGTACATGTGCAGGATGTGCAGGTTTGTTACATAGTTAAAATGTGTGCCATGGTGGTTTGCTGCACAGATCATCACCTAAGTATTAAGACCAGCACCCATTAGCTATTCTTCCCAATCCTCTCTCCTCCCACCCCTGCCCAATGATTTTTAAACTTTGTGTTGGTACCCATTATAAAGTGGTGAGATCATTTCATGAATCACACCCAGATACCATTTTTAAAATTAAAAGTATGGAGTATGGACTCAAATGGAAAGTATCAGATAATACTGCATATCACTGAGGTAGGTAAGAGGCAGTACAGAGTGGTGGTTAAGAGGCTAGACACTAAATGCGGGCTAAGTAGAGTCAAATTCTCACTTTGCCAAATACTGGCCATATCACCTTGGGCAAGTTATTGAATCTCTCTATGCTTCAGTTTCTTTGTTTGCAAAATGGCAAAAAGTATAGTACCTGTCTACTAGGTTGTTCTAAAAATTAAATGACTTAATATCTATAAAGGGCATAGAGCAGTGCCTGGCTCACAATAAGTGCTATATGAGTTTTCATTTTTCTTAAAAATTGCTTTATGAAACTGTTACCCACAGTCCAAAATACCAGAACTGAGATCCTATGGCAACTGGAGTCACACATGCTGAGCAGTACCGGAGAGAAAGTGGGGGACTGAATCGTTTCCATTATCACTGAATTAGAAAACTATGGAAGCAATACCAGATTGCAGGAAAATGGGAACCAGAGGAAAATACTCAAAAGGACATCCCAGATGACCAGGCTAGAGCTCTCTTAGGCTGAGGAGTGGCTTTCAGCCAATTAAGAGGAAAAGTGTTTTTGATGAGATGAGACTCCATAAATGTGTCTTTCCTGGAGAGAATTCTCATTGTCTGATGTACACTTTGCCCTTTTTTCTCTCTTTGGCTTTCATCTGAGACCACGATGACATATTTTTATGCTCTAGTTAAACCTGAATTTTCTCTCTTCAGATCAATCAGGTTCTTGTCTTAATTTCTTGAAGCATATCAGCTGTACCAATTGATTATTGCATTCCATACCACAAGCCCTTCCTTCATATATTTTTCTCTATTCCACAGAAGTCTGGACAAACAAAAGGTGACTGACAAGGTAAAGGCAAGAGACCAAAAGTTTTGAAGACATTTGAAGAAGACATGATAGAGTAAATGGAAAGAGTCAATATCCAAGCAGAACTAACATTGATACGGGAAAGAGCAAGGGAGGTGCTGAGTAGAGAAGAGCGGGGTCCCTGGCAAGGGCTCCACCCTTGGTCCTGCGCCCATGGACCCAAGCGAGAATAGGCACTCCCACTTTTACACTCAAGGGTTGCATTTTCCAAGACCCCTCTGGCCTACCACACCCCCAATCCTGTTGCCATATAAACCCGAGACCTTAAGTGGACGCAGACACAAGGGCGTCAGGGGGAGAGGAGGAACGGGGAACACACCCACAGACCAGCAACAGTGGAATGACACAGGCACCAAGGGGAGTTCGGTTGGGGGGCAGTTAGAGAAAAGTCTGGGCAACCTGCCCCCCAAGAAAGACGACCTTCCCACTCCATCCCCTGCTTCTGGCTCCCCATCCATCTTGCTGTCCATCACTCCTGTCACACTCCTGGCGAGGGGGAAAGGGAACTCCCCCATTTCAATATTACTATAAATATGTATATTGAGCACCTACTATGTACCAGGCACTGTGCTAAGCACTTTATAACCATGCTTATTACAATCACTCTGAGGGATAGATGATATTCATTAGAAATGCAAATGAGGAAACTGGCACTTGGGAAGGTTAAAGCCTGCCTGAGTCTCACAGTTAATAAATGTTAGAGCCAGAGCTCACACAGACTCCCTGGCTCCAAAGCTCATCCCTTTCTCTTACCCACTGCTACAAAGGTTTTAGAACAAGACCCATTGGGTCTAAATTCCAGCTCTACCACATATTAACTACTTAACTTCTCCAAACCTCACTTACGTTTCTCTTATATAAAATGGGGGTGATAACCGTAGCTTCCTCACAGGATTTTGTGAAGATTAAATGAGCTGTTTATTAAGGTATTTAAAATTGTGGCTGGCACACAGTAAGTGATCAAACAGATACCAGCTGTCATTTTTGTTATGCCAGCCCTTGCAAGGCTTCCTATAATTGCAAACATTATGGATTACGATCAGCAGACCAGGCAGCCATCAATACGCCATTGGCCAACTGTCTTTGCACCTCTCTTTCTATAAAAGGATTTCCCATGGTACTTCATTCCTGCCACTGGCACTAGGAGAAAACAAGAACCATAGGGGGCAAAAGCTTGGAATAGTAGGGTTAAAACAAGGAAACCAGCAGCCACAGAAAGGCTGCAATTCAGACCTATGGAATCAGGAAGAGAGAGAGGAAGAGCTGATCTTTGAGACCACAGTTGAGCTATTCTCAAAAAGGACAAATTCAATCAATTGTGGAAGGCAGGAAGATTACTGCTGAGGAAAAAAATGAATTACTTGGGGATTTAAGTGAAAGCTTTTGTTCATGTTGCTGTATGAAGCAGTAGTCCCACAGAAGAGCAGAGGACTTAGGGCTGGGAGGAATTTAATCAGTTCCTTGAGCCCATTTTAACCTAAAAGAGAAATAATTAATTTCAAGTCTTAAATGGGAAGTAGAATCTAGACAGAGTCAAAGCAGGGAAAGGGAAACGATGAAAAGGGCCCATCCATTGTCCAGAAACAAGAGGGAAACACTTGCCCCTGGGAGAATTGATAGACTCAGGCCTAGGCATGCCTTGACTTTGAGCAAGCACAGGGCACGGGGGAGAGGAGGGGGAGGGGACACTCAAAAGAACCTTCATTATTTCTACCCAGTGTTTCTTTGGACCAGCTGGATGAGGACGTCACATTCAGCTGTGTCTATTTCTACTTAGCCAAGCCAAGCATGCCAGGAATTTAAACGTTAAGTTTAAATAATCAATGGGCAATGGTGTTTAGTCTTAACACCTGCCCAGCTGAGACTTAACACATCTGCTGCAATCCCTGAGGCACAAGGGCAAAAAAGTTGCAAAGCATCTTTATTACTCCAGAAAAGTGGAATTAAAGAGTATGTTCTTAAGTCTGCAGATGGTTACCCACTATGGACGGTCCTAACCTACTCTGAGGCCCAAGAAATGGTACAAGTGAGTTTACCGAGGTTAGGGGAAGAAGAAAACAAAATGGGGAGAAACAAAGAATGCAATTTGCTGCATTTATCAGTAGACTGCAGAACTGGTCCAGTTTAGTGGGGCATCCAGTAATGTACTCTGAACTTCAGTGGAAAAGGCCAGGGGAAAGAGACAGCAGTGGCTCTATCTTCGTCACCACCATCACCAATAAGTATTCTTCTCTACAGTGCATGAGTCACTAAATGACACCATTTTCAAGCAGCTTACAGTCTACTGTGTGGGAGGAAAAGATAGCCTCCGCCTCCCCTGAGCTCTTATGGGGGCAATTCGACTAGGTCTAGGAACCAGCCTGACACAGGGCAGGTTAACGAGAAAAGCATACAAGTTTTTATTAGTTTTACTTGTACATGAGGCTCTTCACAAGACAGCAAAGTTCAAAGAAGTGGCCAAGGCAAGCTAGTTTTATACTTCTGAGACAAAGAATGATAAATTTGTGAAGAAATGACAAGGGGCTCTGGATAGAGAGTAAACTCTAGGGAGTCGCTAGGAGATATATGGAGGGTGTAAAGCTAGTGGAATATAGTGGTTACTTCAGAAAGTCTATTTATTCAGGCCTGTTGCAACACCAAATCCCAGTCCGGGGTGATAAGGAATAGTCTCTCACCCTGGTAGGGAAAAAGCACCCCTTCCAAAAGAATCTTTATGGCTTGCTACAGGCAGGAAAATACAGGCCAGCTAGGCTTCTCTTAAAACTACAATTTCTCCAATGTTTTTAGATCAAAATAATGAATATACCAATTTGGGATATTTTGGGATGGCACATCCTTCACTCCTTTACTATTTAAGAAAGTAAAACATTTACATAAATAGAAAAGTAAATAACAACACAAGTTGGGCCAAACAGGCAATGTTTCCTTCTTAGAAACAGCTCAGTGTCTTCATATTACAAAAACACACATCCCACTTGGTGGACAGAAACCATATCGTGAAACTAGACTCAGAGAAATAGTCTCAAATACCAACATTATACAACTTCACTCTAAATCATCCAACTATTTCACAGATTCATGTTGAAGGACAGTTGTGATACTAACACATTAGAAATCATTGCTTTAGAAGTCATTAAAGAACTATATGCTGTTTAAAGCTGTCAACTTTAGTCTCATGCTGATTTGGGAGTTATTTATTTGAAATGACTGGGCTTTATACCCCAAGCACATATTATATTTATTTCAGAGGCAATGTTAAGTATAGTGGCTAAGGGTAGGAACTCTGGAATCAGACTTCATGGGTTCAAATCCCAGCTCTACGTTTATTAGCTGTATAACTGTAGCAAGTTACTTCCCTGTGCCTTGATTTCCTTATCTGGAAAAGTGGGAATATTAAGAGGATTTACTGTGAACAATTGTAGTGGGGATTACACAAAATAGTCCATAAAGTACACAACTCAATGGATCGCACACAGTCTGCCCACAAAAATATTTGCTTTCATTAATATTATCAAGTAAGGTGGCTGAGAGCCAGAGTTGGCATGGGATGGCCATTGGGAGGGCCGGGGCACTTACAGACATGGTCTTCCACATTGATAACTTTGAGATCCATCTCCCCATCCTCTGTGTTTAAAGTAGCTGAGTCGACAGACTGAGAACAAGGAGGAGCTACCTACACCCTGCAGGAGTAACACAGGACCAAACACTATCTCCAAAACATCTGTGTAACAATTACTTCTTCACACATGCAAGAAGTAAAGGGAATAAAAAGACATTCAAAATTAGAAGCAAATAAGCACACTTTGTAAAGATTAAGAATGTAATGGTGACACTGACTGCAAGTGTCCACCCAGGCTAATAAAATTACTTGGAGAAAAAATGTTCTTCAAGATCCAGGGAAGCCATGGAGAGTCTTTTGAGTCCTCGAGAATATGGCTTTACTTTTGCCAGCCACAAGAGAGCTGCTTGTAGCAAAAAAAAAAAAAAGTCATGAAACCAAAAGGCAGTTCATTATGTCTGTTTAAAAGAAAGCACTGTTGGAGAAGAGGAAGCTCTGACGAAACGGTCTGCTAGGTGGACAGGTAGGGAGGACTCAGAAGTCCATTTTACAGGTAGTGAATCTCATGTTTAAGGCCAAAGTGAAGTTGTTTGCCAAGGGCTCTCTAGCACAGAGTTCCTCTAAACCTTGGGCAGCAAATGCCAAAGAACTTACCTTTCCCAGAGTTCCCCAACTAGTGAAACATTCAGCAAGTCAGCCCAGGCTAGGCTGGTTTCTTGGTTATATGCTCTTAGATCCGTGTTCCCTCCTCTCACAGCACTTACATATTAACCTCTGTGACTATGTCTTCCTCCCCAGTCTTCAAATTTCATGAGAACAAGGTCTGTTTTTGTTTTCCATGGTATCTTCAGGGCTTCACAAAGAGCTGTGTAAACCCATCATAAAGCATACAATAAGCCCATAATAAGTATCGGTGGAATAAATAAATGAGCAAAATCAACAAATGTGTGACACAGAACAGGAGTTTTTCATTTAACTTGTATTTTAGAGACAGAGTCTCACTCTGTCGCTCAGGCTGGAGTGCAGTGGCGTGATCATAGCTCACTGCAGCCTCTAACTCCTGGCCTCAAGCAATCCTCCCACATCAGCCTCCTTAGTAGCTAGGACTACAGGCATGCACCACCATACCCGGCTAAGAGAAGAGGAGTTTGAGGACTAACTACTTGCATTCGACATTCATGGGGACATTTACATTGGGCCTGCATATTGATATTGCTTAAAATATGTTCTTTATGTTTCACTAAATCTTTAAATCTCTTAGGACTGAGAAAAGCCAAATCCTATGTACATCAGTCAGGGAGGTAAGGTCCCTATATATGCTGTTTTAAAGTTATAAATGTCTGTTTCAGAGCACAAGGATTAATAACTTTAAAATCTTTTGAATCTTTTACTTTTATTTAGTTAGTTAGTTATTTTTTTGAGACGGAGTCTTGTTCTGTCACCAGGCTGGAGTGCACTGGTGCAATCTCCGCGCACTGCAACCTTTGACTCCCTGGTTCAAGCAATTCTCCTGCCTCAGCCTACCGAGTAGCTGGGATTACAGGCACGCGCCACTACGCCAAGCTGATTTTTGTATTTTTAGAAGAGATGGGGTTTCACCATGTTGGCCAGGCTGGTCTTGATCTCCTGACCTTGTGATCTGCCAGTTTCCGCCTCCCAAAGTGCTGGGATTACAGGCGTGAGCCACCACGCCCAGCCTCTTTTCTCTAGATTGGAAAATATCTTTGTTAGAAAAACATTCCTCTCCTTTAGACTACAAATTGGAAGAATTTCTAAAAATAGAACAGTGACAAAACCCTGGATTGTGGATTTTAGCAAGAAATACTGCCCTGTTAAAGACCTGCTTTAAAGCAAAAGAAATCCCCATAAGTCTGTGGGCAGGAGAATCACCATCACAAGGCCTGAAGTATTTAACTTTAGTTAAATATAATTTTAAACCAGGAAAATCTGCTCATGTATGGGAATTTGTAGTTCTATAAGGATTAGGGAAAACAGAAGGCAGAATACAAGCAATATCTCTCAAGGTTGACCTTGAATTTTAAAAAATTATATATATATATATATATGCAAAATCAGGCAAGATCTTGACACTCCAAAATGGTGTCTGTGGCTCTTAGTGAGGTGGAAGCACAGGGACGTGGGAATAGGTGGGAAGAAGAGAGTCTTTTAAAACCAGCCAGCTGAAATGTTCTTGTCAATAAAGGCATCATTTTACTTCTTCTACTAGGTTAGGATGATTTGAAGGCCTGCATAAACCAAAAGCTGTCACTATAATTCAAGGATAATTGGAACAAATGGCTGCTTAGCACCAGAAAGAGATGGGGCTGAGGAGATGGAATCTTCCAGCCTTTGGGTTGTTCCAGGGAGCATGATCTTCACCTTAAATCCCAGCTGAACAATATCTGTCCCTTTTCCTGTCCCCTCACCAAAACTGGACCTGGAGAAGCCTATGTATTTGTTTGCATGGAATCCTCGCCCTGTGAGCACACACACATCCACTCAGTTCTTTCACGCTTCTCTCTCTTCCCCATTCTTCACACACACAGCTACATCTGTTTCCCTTTTTCCCCCTAAATAAACTTACTCCAGTGTTGAAAATGGATACAAATTGAATCCTACCCACCAAATACTGCATCACATTTTCCCAAAAATGACATGACTTTACCCCAGTGATAAAAGGGAGGTCCTCTTTGCTACCATTAAAATATATCTTTTACTTAATTCCCTGCCCTCTCCTCACCAAGAAAACTCAGTAAGGAACTGCAGGGACCTTAAAGACCATCCAGACTTTGGCTGTGCAGAGTGTGTTCTGGGGACCCACACCATCAGTTTGCCCAGGAGCACATGGGAAGAGAAGAATCCCCAGCCCCACTGAAAACCACAGGACTGGAGTCTGCATTTTAGCAAGATCCTATGTGATTCCTGTGCACATTCCAGTTTGAGAGACATGTGTCTAGGGAGCATGTCTCACCTACTTCATGTGAGAGTTACCTGGGGAGCTTTTACAGCCACCCAAGCCTCACCTGAGACCAAATTAATCCACATTCTCTAGATGGCTATGTGTGTTAAAAGCTCCCTGGGGTGGGGGTGGGGGGTTCTGTGTATGGCCAGAGTTGAGTGGCACTGCTCCTGTCCAACTGGCTCATTGTGCAGACAGCCTGAGTAGCCCAAGGTCATGACATAAGCCAGTGGCAGGGCTGAATTTAAAGGCACAAAGCAGTGCGCCCCAGAGTCACGCGGGTGGACTCTGACAGTGATAGTGTCCATTTCCCACATCTGCCAGGAGTGTGGCTCTTTGTGGGCTGAGTCACCTGCGGGGAAGGGTTTCAGGTTAGAATGTTCATAGGGTGTCACCCAAATCACTGTTTTTAAGCCCTTCTCTACTCCCAAAGAAGTCATTTAATTTGGCCTGGAGGATAGCATCAAAAAACTATGTAACCAATGATATTTCTGCTTGACCTGCCAAATGTGTATTAAATGCATCCATATTTGCCTCCCCCCTCAGCCATCTTCCCCTTTTCCCCTGACTCCAGTTTATAGGAAAAGCAGCCAGCACATACCCCCCTGACAGAAGTCTATGAAAATCCAACTGAGAGGGATTAAAAGGCAGACAGGGCGTATTCCATTTCCTTGAGGCCCTGGGAAAATGTCACATCCGAGGCTGAGCCAGTCCTGATGAGAAAGCCTCGTTGCTGCCAGCTGGGAGGGTTCAAGGTTTGCCAAGCACTGAAGACACTGTTTATGAAAAGCTTTAAATGTCAAGTACCCTGGCTCCTTAGGGTCCTCCCACAAGATAACGCAGTCTCTTGTCAAGCACAGACTCGCCCGAAAAATGAGACCTGAGAAAGGGGCAAGGCTGAGGCATCTGTTCAAAGACAAGCTTCTCAGAGGCCCTGGCTTCTTATGTGGAGGAAAACTTATCTCCCCGTTTTGCAGGAGTTAAGAAGGGCAAAAGAGAATGACAGTGCAGGGAGAGAAAGCGGGAAATCAGAAGAGAAAGGAGAAGGGAGAGAAGAAAGTGAGAGAATGCAGGAAGAGAGAAATGTGCAGATACTAAAAATAAATTCAAAGGCCCTGCTTTTCAACCTCCTCAGTTTTCATATCACAGAAAAGCAGCTAAATCTTCTGAGAAAGCTCAAATGCAAGGACTAAGAATGGGAAAGCAGAGAGAGGGAGGAGAAGTCCTTTCATCAAAATACTTAGGAATCTCAGTGCGTGGTCACTTGGCTGCCACAGGAGGGGTCTGGGTGGTCCTAAGAGGGAGAGGGACTCCTTCCAGGCTCCCCCCAGGACCCACCCTCCCCTCACCAGCAGCCCACCCTCCTAACCCGACAGGGAGGAAACCTGCTCAGTGCTGCTATTTACAATTTCCATTCAGGCAATCTTCACATTTTGGAATGGCATTTGCCAAGGGAGACGATCTCAGCTCCTCTTCTATTTTCAGGTTCCCTCTTGCATAGCGGATGGCATCAGTACTAAGCTCCAAGAAGCAATTTAGAAGAGTGGTTGCTGGAAAGTGGGGGAACCCATGCCAATCTACAGACCTGCAGAGCCTGGGGATGAAGCTTTTATTTTTAACACTGGGATCTGTGAGGCTGACCTATATTTCACTTCTTATATCGGCAGAAGTGACAAGCCTCGAAGGCCAGGGCACAGAGCTGAGCCTCAGGAGTCTGAGGCTTTGAACACTTCACTCAGAGGAACAGAAGCAACAAGACACCAAGCCCACCATGGACAGAGACAGCCGCTAAAACAGAAGGTGCCAAAGTGCCTAGGCTAAGGTTGCAGGGTGCACTCAGTAGACCAGATGGGAAGAACTTGATGTCAGTTTTACCTTCAGAACTTGGAAAGTCTATAGCCAGACCAAACTATGCAGCTAACAAGAAGATGGGGGGTGAGGATGGGGGTGGAGGTGGGCACAAATTGAAGGCCCAGGAAAGGAGAAAATGGGTAGGAGAATGTCGAAAAAATTAGGAGAGATGAAAGAAAGGGGCCAGGCATGGTGGCTCATGCCTGTAATCCCAGCACTTTGGGAGGCTGAGGCAGGCAGATCACCTGAGGCCAGGAGTTTGAGACCAGCCTGGCCAACATGGCAAAACCCAGTGTCTACTAAAAATACAAAAATTAACTAGGCATGGTGGCACACGCCTGTAATTCCAGCTACTTGGGAGGCTGAGGCAGGGGAATCATTTGAACCTGGGAGGCGGAGGTTGCAGTGAGCTGAGATCACACCACTGCACTCCAGCCTGGGCGACAGAGCAAGACTGTCTCAAAAAACAGAAAAGAAAGAAAGAAAGGGGTGGTGTAGATGTGGGGAGAGGGAATGTTAAATTTGCATATTTCAGTAGTGGAACCTGTCCAACACTTCAGAGTCCCTTGGTCAAACAGGCAGAAAAGAAGGCAGCATTAAACAATGCGCTCAAAAAGGATGGCTTAACACCATCAGATAATGTTTTTCAAAATACGTCTAGTCTCCACTATTATCATATTTCATATTTTATTTCTCCTACTCATTCTCAAAACCAAACCCTCTAAAGCATATTTGTCTGGCCAGCCTTATGATGACAAGTCTTCAAATGCATGATACCATGTTGAATTTAATTTTATGCCTGAAACACTAAAGGCTGGCACGGCTCCATTATCTTTTTGTCAAACCCTCACATTTTAATCTGCCATCCAGTCAGTGGACTGGAAACAGAGAAAAATCACTTCAGATTATGAAAAATTTTGACCCTGCACCACCAGAATTTGTTTAAATCAAATTGTCATCTAAATGGAAAGCAGTATAGTGATTTAGTGTTGGTGTAGAGGCCCTGTGGCTCAGTGACAAGAGGCTCCAGGAGGAAGGGCACAGCCTGAGATGCCTTCCTCCTCTGGGTGTCCACAGGCACATCACACTAAGCAGGTGTAATATGGAAACCAGCATCTCTCTCCACTCCCTTCTAGAATCATCAGTCAATGGCACCATCACCCACTCGGTCACCCAAGTAAAATTCCTGCTGGTGGCAGCAGTGGTGGGGATGGTGGGTCATCGAGACCCCCTCTCCTGCCCTCCTGGACCAGTCAGGACAGGCATGGCACAGTGATGATGAGAGCAGGCGCTGGAGTTAAACTACACGGCTGTGAGTCCCAGTTGGTTACTTGCTAGCCATGTGCCATTCAGCCAAGTCACTTAGCCTCTCTATGCCTCAACTTTCTTATCTATAAAACCTCTTTAGGCTGGGCAAGGTGGCTCACGCCTGTAATCCCAGCACTTTGGGAGGCTGAGGCAGGTGGATCACTTGAGGTCAGGAGTTCAAGACCAGCCTGGCCAACATGGTGAAACCCCATCTCTACTAAAAATACAAAATTAGCCAGGTGTGGTGGTGTGCACCTGTAATCCCAGTTACTCGGGAAGCTGAGGCAGCATTAGCTAAGACTGTTCCTCCCCCACCCCCCTCCCCCCGTCCATGCAATTATCAGGACCTGTCAAGTTCAAAGTCCTCTCCATTCCATGCTCTTTCCTACTTGTAGCCGCCCTCACCATCTCTCACTAGAACCAACACAACATCTCCCTCCTTGGTCTCCTTGTCTGTAGTCTTGCCCCCCTCAAATCCATCCTCCATAGAGCCACCCACACTGCATATCAAGACATGAAACCAAACTGTTGTTGTTGTTGAGAGAGGATCTCCCTCTGTCACCCAGGCTGGAGTGTTGTGGCGCAATCTTGGCTCACCACAGCCTCTGCCTCCTGGGCTCAAGTAATCCTCCCACCTTGACCTCTCAAAGTGCTGGGATTATAGGCGTGAGCCACTACATGTGATCCCACTCCCATTCTCAAAACCCTTCCATGGCACCTCACCTTCCACAGAGGGAAAACCCAAACTTCTTAGTGTGACACATAAGGAGCCTTCCCCACCCTCTCTCCATCCTCGCTTTCAGTCTCTCCTCTCCCATCTCCTTTCCCGTCACTCTCTGGTTACCCTGAGTTGCAATTCATCTCCATCCTGCTGTTGCAAAGTTCTATGCCTTTGTCTGTGTGGTTCTTCTGTGGAAAAGTCCTTTAGGTCTTGATCCAGTCATCATCTCCTTCAGATGGCTTCCCAGGACCCCGAACCCAGGAGGGCTCTTCACCCTGGGTTCCCATAGCCCTGTGCATTTCACACTCACCCAAACACAATGAGACCCTGTGGGCCTTAAGGGTGGGGCTCATCTCTTTAGACCCTCAGTACCTAGCATTCAATTCAACTGAATTGAATTGCCCCCGTGAGGGAGGTCTTTCTATTCGCATTTTACAGCTGAGGAAACCAAAATCCAGAGACGGGAATTATACTGCCTGAAGCCACACAGCTAGTAAGTGACTGCACTGGTATTCAAACCCAAATCTATTATTGTGGGTGAGGTGGTTAAGGACTCTGGAGTGAAAGTGCTGGGCACATATCCCGGCTCCCGCACTTACTGGCCATGTGACCTTGGTCAAATCACTTATCTTGTAGAGCCTCGTCTGCAAAATGGGGATGATTTTAGTACCTCCATCAGAGGTATTGTGAAGAATGAACAAAATAACATATGGTCCTTAGCTTTGTACCTGGAACATCCTAAGCCCTATATAAACTTCAGGAAAAGAGAGTCCTAACACATGAAAAATACCAACAGGATGCATTTTTTTAAAGTACAGCCACTGGCTTCAAACACTTTTGCAGTGCAGAATCCATTAACGGCTACGCCAAGATTATCTTGAAGATGATGTTCATTTGGCTGCTCTGGAGAAGTCAAAAAAGTAAACAACAGAAAACAGATCAGCTGGTGGGGTGATTGCACCCCATTTCCAAGAGACTGGGTTAGTGAGTGCATCTCTGTGAGGAATAAGTAGAAACAATCTGGAGGACTCTGGAGACGTTCAGAGGATGACAGTGAATCCAGAGCAAGCTGTTCACCTCCTGGGAGAGGGGGAGGCCCACAGAACACTACAACCAGTGGGGTGCAGTGTCTCACATCTGTAATCCCAACACTTTGGGAGGCCAAGATGGGAAGATCACTTGAGGCCAGGAGTTGAACACCAGACTGGGCAATATATCAAGATCCCTGTCTCTCCAAAAACAAAAAAAAAGTAGCCAGGCATGGTGGTGCACACCTGTAGTCCCAGATACTTGGGAGGCAGGAGGACCACTTGAGTCTAGGAGTTCAAGGCTACAGTGAGCTGTGATGGTGCCCCTGCACTCCAGCCTGAGCCACAGAGCGAGACTCTGTGGGTCCACCCTCATGACATCATTTTAATTTCATTTCCTCATAAAGACCCTATTTCCCATTAAGGCCATATTCTGAGAAACTGGGGAAGAAACTTAACATTCATATGTTAAGACTTAAACATATGAATTTGAGGGACGTAATATGACCCAGAACACCCATTTCCTGCTCAGAGACCCCACTCTGTAATGCTAGGAAATAAGCTTTGGGTCAGCGGGACAGGATTTTGGTGCGGGTGAGGGACACAGGCTCTGTGAGCATGGGCCGGGAGGGCGGGCCTTCCTTACCGGGTCCCATCAGTGTTCAGCTGGACACTGTAAGATGGGCCGGCACCCGCGGAGCTCAGGAAAGAAGGACTGACAGCCTCACTCCACTGACAGCACACGACACAAAGGGTCACTCATGCCTGGCTTCAGCTGTCACAGCAGCAGAGGCGCCTCCCCCGCGAAACAACAAGCACATCCCCTACAATCCTGCGAAACAACAAGCACATCCCCTTACAATCCTGAGGCACACCCTGACTCAAGCCTCCGCCCCAGCGCCCCGCTGACACCGGCAACTGCTGCGCGGGTCCCTGGTCACCCCTCTTCAGCTCCCGGCCATCTCGGGTCAGAACGCATCACGGTTCCTTTCCTCTACAGCCCCAGCACTTCCCTCAACCTGTCTTTTGCGACTGAGCCTGACTGTGCCTTCTATCTGAGTGAGTTCTTCACAAGCATGTGGCCTCCATGACAGCAGGGAATTGAGTTCATTCTGCTTGCTCCCTTGTTCCCGGCAGCCACAGTGGCAGCTGGCGGGATGCAGGGCCTCAGCACTGCATATCTTGAAGGCTGGAGGAAGGCCGTCTTTTTCCCCACCATGTGGGCAGTTCCCCAAGGGCAGGGAGCGCACCTCCTCTCTTTCTTCCTAGAGCTCCTGCCCCAGGCAGCTTCACAAGCGGCCCTCCGTAACAACAAATGGAACCAACGGGAGCTTGGCAGTCAGATGTTCTGCTTCACCCTAAACCAACTTTGAAGTCAAGCATGACCCTTCACTTACACTTCCCCCTCAGACAAGCTCCCTCAACACTCTGCTCAGGATCATTTCAGCTGGGCGCAGCAGCACTTAGTCCCAGCTGCTCAGGAGCTAAGGCAGGCAGACCACTTGATTTCAGGTGTTCCTGTCCAGCCTAGGCAACACAGCAAGAACCCCGTCTTAAAAAAAAAAAAAAAAAAAAGTTATCTCTTGTAAACCTTTTCCTGGCAAATGCTCCTACCTACCCTCCACTCCTTCCTTTGGGCCTTCATTGTACAAAGTAAGTCCTTCCACCCTAGCATCTATAATCATGTTTGTCTTCTCCTAGAGATTATGAGTTACCTAAGGGCAAGAACCTTCTTATCCTTTTGCTTAACACAGGGTTTGATACCTGGTAGGCATAACTTCTCTTAAAGGTAATAATTCCTTTCCTATTGATCCAATCTCAAACCTCATGTGCTCCCTCTGCCTCTTGTGCTGGAGCCAGTCAGTCCCAGTCTGTTCCTTCCCAGCATCTATGGTGCCCATCCATTCTACCCATCACTTTCTTTCCACTCCTTCAACCTCCATAACCCCTGAAGCAATTTCCCATTCCATCTCCCTGTCTCTAGTGCCTACCCTCAATCCAACCTATGCACAGCTACCAGATTAAGCATCCTACAGCATTATTTTGCAAGAAACCCCACGCCTCCTTTGCTCTAAAACTTTTCTCAGTCCTCCACTGCCTAAAGGATTGTCTAAACTCCCTGTGTTAACCTTCACAGTCCTGACAACCTGAGCCCCTACCCTCCCTTGCTGATTTGATTTTCCACCATCCATGCCCTGAACCCTTCTTCTCCTTTCCCCTGAATAAGTCTGCTCCTTTCCCCTGAACAGCCACCCACACTCACTCCTGTCATTGCACTTCTTCTCCTGCCACTCTCCTTCTCACCCGTTTTATTTTGTCTTGAGGCGAAATCTCTCTCTGTTGCCCAGGCTGAAATGCAGTGGCACAATCTCGGCTACTGCAATCTTTGCCTCTCAGGTTCAAGTGACTCTCCCACCTCAGCCTCCCGAGTAGCTGGTTCTACACACGCACCACCACATCCGGCTAATTTTTGTATTTTTTTGTAGAGACAGGGTTTCACCATGTTGCCCAGGCTGGTCTCTAACTCACTTGTTTTCAAGACCCTACCACTCTCCATCTTACCCAAGTCCTGCCCTCAGTCAAGCCCATTCAAGCCTGATCCCCATTAGAACCTCCCCCATCCCTGGAAACAAGGCTGCCCTTTTGGATTCCTGTGGAGCTCATTGTCTGGACCATTAATTTGGGGCATACGCCACCTTGTATGGCAATTCATTCTTGCCGCACCACAATTCATCCCCCTATCTAGACCGTCAGCTTCCCAAGGAAGGGCCTGTGCCTGGTTCATTCCTTTTTATAACTTCAACACCTAACACAGTGCCCTGAGCATAGCACACACATAACAAGAGTGTGGGTGAAAATAAGCAGCTTGCCATTGGGAGAATTCAGAATATTAGCCTTTATTTGTGGCAAATCTATCACAAGAAACAAGGAATGGACATTCACAGGGATGGGCATGTATTTCACCAGCATGATGGATGCTTTTGACAGAATCCAATGCTAGGTACTCTATAAATATTTCATCAAATGAATCAATTACAGGTTGGCAGGTGTCCTCTGGTTATCAAAGTCTAGCAGCAGGAAGAAAGGTACCAAAGCCTTCCAACTTCAGGAACTGCTGCCACTATTCTCATACAAATCATTAGAGCAGGCAACGTCTGACATCTCCTCAACACTTGGGAGAATCTTTCTAAGCCTCTAATAGCTAACCCAAATCTTGTCTTCTCCCTTCTAAGCTTAGTCCAATATGTTCTGTCCTGGGTCCTCTTCCTCCACTAACACGAAGATTCCATCCACACCAAGGAGAGAACACTTTATAGCAACTGATAGAGCCAGCTGAGCTGTTTCCATGGAGACAGTGGTGATTTCAGGAAATCCATCTGTTTTAGATTGCTCTATAGACTCACCCTAACTTCTTTTACAGCTCATGTAGCTCAGGGGCCCTGAAGCCTCCATTCCCACAGCACCTTCTCCCAGCCTCGTTTCTTTTTTTTTTATTATTATTATACTTTAAGTTTTAGGGTACATGTGCACATTGTGCAGGTTAGTTACATATGTATACATGTGCCATGCTGGTGCACTGCACCCACTAACTCGTCATCTAGCATTAGGTATATCTCCCGATGCTATCCCTCCCCCCTCTCCCCACCCCACAACAGTCCCCAGAGTGTGATATTCCCCTTCCTGTGTCCATGTGATCTCATTGTTCAATTCCCACCTATGAGTGAGAATATAGCCCCAGCCTCGTTTCTAATCTCTCTTCCAAATTTCAAACCTCACCTAGAAACCTTACACTCCATGGCCGGGCGTAGTGGCTCATGCCTGTAATCCCAGCACTTTGGGAGGCCAAGGAGGGCAGACTGCTTGAGCTCAGGAGTTTGAGACTAGCCTGGGCAACATGGCAAGACCCCATCTCTACAAAAAAATACAAAAAGTAGCCAGGAGTAGTGGTAGGTGCCTGTGGTCCCAGCTACATGGGGGACAGAAGTGAGAGGATCGCTTGAGCCCAGGGAGTAGAGGCTGCAGTGAGCCAAGATCACGCCACTGCACTCCAGCCTGGGTGAGAGTGAGACCCTGTCTCAAAAGAAGAGGAGAGGGGAGGGGAAGGGAGGGGAGGGGGAGAGGAGGGGAGGGGGAGAGGAGAGGAGAGACCTTACACTCAAGGGGCTAATTTTTTTTTTAGATGGAGTCTCACTCTGTTGCCCAGGCTGGTGTGCAGTGGTGTGACCTTGGCTCACTGCAACCTCCACCTCCCGGGTTCAAGCGATTCTCCTGCCTCAGCCTCCCAAGTAGGTGGGATTGCAGGCACACCCCAGGTATTTTTGTATTTTTAGTAAAGACGAGGTTTCACCATGTTGGCCAGGTTGGCCTCGAACTCCCAACCTTAGGTGATCCACCTGCCTCGGCCTCCCAAAGTGCTGGGATTACAGGCGTGAGCCATTGCATCCAGCCTCTAGGGGCTAAATTGATGACTTAGGTCCAGTCTCCTAACATTCGGCAAAGTGAAGCCAGAACTAGTACCTCCACGTTAGATAAAAACAAATATTGCCATGACAATAAGAGGCCACTTGTTGTGGGTGGAGCGAGCTGGTGGGTTTGAGGAAGGGTCCGTGTTTGCAGGCAGTGGTTCTCCTGGGTATCTGAAGAAACAACATTGTTTATTTGGAGTTTCTCTTTCATTAATTCAAAAGGAAAAAAATATAGTGACACTTTAATTAACAAAAAGGATATATCTGAGAGGCATGAACGTGTTGTCAGAAGTTTCAACAAAGACAGTAGAAGCAACTCAGGATTCTGGGTGGACACAGATTTCCTTCCTCCCCATTCTACTTTCCTCCACAACTCTCCTGAGCGGTGGAGCACAGCCCCATCGCCTTCCTGGTCCCCCTCTGTAGGGCTCTCCATGCCTCACTGTCATCCTAAGGTCAGAGAGGCACAGCCTGCTGCCCAATAATTACAGCACACCACGGGAGCCCCAAGGCACTGTTCCTGGGGAGGACAGCTGTGATAGACAATGTCCCTATCTGTTGTGGGCTGAACCGTGTTCCCACCCAACTCATATGCTGAAGCCTAACCTCAGTACCTCAGAATGTGACTGTTTTGTATTTGGAGATAGGGCCTTTTAAGAAGTGATTACGTGGCCAGGCATGGTGACTCACATCTGTAATCCCAGCACTTTGGGAGGCTGAGGCAGGTGGACCACCTGAGGTCAGGAGTTCGAGACCAGCCTGGCCAACATGGTGAAACCCATCTCTACTAAAAATACAAAAATTAGCCAGGTGTGGTGGTGCACACCTGTAGTCCCAGCTACTCAGGAGGCTAAGGCAGGAGAATCACTTGAATCCGGGAGGCAGAGGTTGCAGTGAGCGGAGATCGTGCCACTGCACTCCAGCCTGGGTGACAAAGCGAGACTCTGTCTCAAAAAAAAGTGATTAAGTTAAAATTAGGTGTTAAGGTGGACTGTCACCCAATCTGACTGGCATCATAAGAGGAGAAATGTGGACACCCAGAGAAAATGTGGACACCCAGAGGAGAAACCCAGGGGTGTGCAGGAACAGAGGAAAGACCACGTGAAGCGGCAGGAAGAGGGCAGACATCTGCAAGCCAAGGAGAGGCTTCCGAGCAAGCCAGCCTTCCCACATCTTGACCTTGGACGTCCAGCCTCCAGAACTGTGAGACACATCTCTTTATTTAACCCATCTAGTCTGTGGTATTTTGTTATAGCAGCCCTAGCAAACCAATACAATTCCCTTTTTTCCTCAGCTGCCCCCAGCAGCAACAATATAATCCCAAGGATGACTGCATGAAGTTTTTATCTCCACATGAGTGGTTATGTCCTCTTGATATCTACTTTGATATTAATAGAGCCACTCCAGCCTTCTTTGATTGATGTTGCGTGATGTATCTTTTTCCATCCTCCTATTTTTAATGTTTGTGTCTTCATGTTTAAAGAGAGTTTCTTTTGCAGCATATCATTGGGCCTCACTTTTTAAACCAATCTGACAATCTCTGCCTTTTAACTGGGGTATTAGAACTCTACTGTCCATTACATCACTAGCCTCCTACAACTATGTAAATTTAAATTAATTTAATAAAATTAAAAATTCAGTTCACGAGCCACATTTCAAGTGCTCAAGAGCCACATGTGACTAGGTAGAAAAGAACACAGATAAAAAGAACAGTTGCATCATCACAGGAAGTTGTATTGGACAGCCCTGATTTAGATCATTTACATTTGGTGCTATTATTAATATGGCTGTTTAAATCTATCATTTTGCTACATATTTTCTTTTTGTCTAATTGTTCTTTTTCATATCTTCATCCTTTTCTGCTTTCTGTGAATTAGTTGAGCATTTTTCATGATTCCATTTTATTGCCTTTATTGGCTTATTAATGATAACTCTTTGTTTTTAGTGGTTGCTTTAGGGTTCATAGTATGTATCTTTAACTTATTATCATCTACCTTCAAGTAATATTATAGTACTTCATGTATCATATAAGAATCTTACAACAACCTACTTCATTTCCCCCTTCTTGGCCTTTGTGAAATTATTTCAAATATTTTATATCTAAAAACCTCAAAATACACTGCTACTATTTTTGCTTTAAACACGATCTTTTAAATATTTTCTTTTCTTTCTTTTTTTTTTTTTGAGATGGAGTTTCATTCTTGTTGCCCATGCTACAGTGCAACGGTGCAATCTTAGCTCACTGCAACCTCCACCTCCTGGGTTCAAGCGATTCTCCTGCCTCAGCCTCCCAAGTAGCTGGAATTACAGGCATGTGCCACCAGGGCTGGCTAATTTTTGTATTTTTAGAAGAGACAGTGTTTCACCATGTTGGTCAGGCTAGTCTCAAACTCCTGATCTCAGGTGATCCACCCACCTTGGCCTCCCAAAGTGCTGGGAATACAGTCATGAGCCACCATGCCCGGCTAAGATATTTTTAAAATACGAAAATTTATTTTATATTTATCTACTATTTACCATTTCTGTTGCTGTTTAATCCTTTATTTTGATCAAGATTTCCAGTTGGTAGATTTTTCTTTTAATTGAAGGACTTCCTTTAATGTTTGTTGTAGTGCATGTCTACTGGAAATGAATTTTTTTAATTTTTGTATGTCTGAAAAGGATTTTATCCTCAGTTTTGGAAGATATTTTTGTTGGATATAGAATTCTCAGTTGATAGGAATTTTTTCTTTCAGTGCATTAAAGATATTACTCCACTGCCTTCTGGCTTGCATTGTTTCCAACAAGAAGTCTGCTGTCATCATCCTTGTTTTTTTCCTCTGTCTATAGTATACATAGTCTTCCCTTGGTATCCACAGTGAATTGGTTCCAGGACTCCATAAGGATACCCAAATACCTTAGATAAAATGGCATAGTATTTGCATATAACCTACATACATTCTGCCATATACTTTAAATCATCCCTTGATTACTTATAATACCTAACACAATGTAAATGCTATATAAATAATTGTTATACTGTATTGCTTTTTGTATTATTTATTGTTTCATTGTTATTTTTCCTTTTTTTTTTTTGAGACAGAGTCTTGCTCTGTCACCCAAGCTGGAGTGCAGCAGTGTGATCTTGGCTCACTGCAACCTCTGCCTCCCAGGTTCAAGTGATTCTCGTGCCTCAGCCTCCTGAGTAGCTGGGACTACAGGTGTGCACCGCCATCATACCTGGCTAATTTTTGTATTTTTAGTAGAGGCGGGGTTTCACCATGTCGGCCAGACTGGTCTCATACTCCTGGCCTCAAGTGATCCGCCTGCCTTGGCCTCCCAAAGTGCTGGGATTACAGGGATGAGCCACTGTGCATGCCCCCCACCAAATATTTTTGATCTGCAGTTGGCTGAATCCATGGATGCAGAACCCATGAATACAGAGGGCCAACTATACTGTTCTTTTCTCTCTGGCTAATTTAAGATTTTCTCTTTATCACTGGCTTTAAGCAATTTTATTCTTGTGTACATTGGTGTGGTTTTCTTCATATTTCTTGTATTTATAGTTTGTTGAGCTTCTTGAATAAGTGGAATTTTTTAAATCAAATTTGAAAATATTTTAGCCAGTGTTTCTTCAAATATTTTTCCTTTCCCACCACCATTCTGTGGACTCCATTACACTCATATTAAGCCATCTGACGCTGTCCCACAGCTCACTGATGCTCTGTTCTTTCCTTCTTTTTCCAGTGTTTTTCCCTCCGTGTACTTTTTATAGATAATTTCTATTGCTTTGTTTTCAAATTCACTAATTTATTTTTTTGCAGTGTGTAAATAAATCCTATCCAATGTATTTTCATCTCAGATATTGTATTTTCCATCTCTAGAAGTTTAATTTGGGTCTTTTTCAACAACTTCCATGTCTCTACTTTTCATGCTCAATTTCTCCTCTACTTTCTTAACACATAAAATATAATTATCCCAATTGCTTTAGTGGTCTTGTCCACTAATTCTTTCATAAGTGTCATTTCCGACTCTGTTTCTATTGATTGCTTTTTCTCTTCAACATGGGTTGCATCTTCCTGCTTCTTTGCATACCTTGTAATTTTTTATTGGATATCAGACATTGTGAATTTTGCATGGTTGAGTGCTGCATATTTTTTGTGTTCCTATAAAGATTGTTGAGCTTTGTTCTGGAATCCAGTTAAGTTACTTGGAAATAGTTTGATTCTTTCAAGGCTTATTTTAAAAGTTTTTTCGGCCTCCAGAGTAGCTGGGACTACAAGCATGCGCCAGCACACCCAGCTAATTTTTGTATTTTTAGTAGAGATGGCGTTTCACCATGCTGGCCAGGCTGGTCTCAAACTCCTAACCTCAGGTGATCCGCCCACCTCGACCTCCCAAAGTGCTGGGATTACAGGCATGATCCACCGTGCCTGGCCAATTCTAGAGATAATTTTACCCAAATACTGAGGCAATATCCTTCTGAGTACTCTATCCAATGCCCCATGAATTATGAGGTTTTCCATTCCGGCTGGTGGGAATACAGTTTTCCCAGACCTGTGGGGTTGTTCCCTCTGTTCCTTTTGAATGGTTCTTTCCCTGACATTGGGCAGTTTTCTCACATGCATGCACTGAGTAGTACTCAGCTAAAATACTTGAAGGAGACCGTCTGCACATCTCCACAGCATTTTCCCTCTGTCTCTCTCTCTCTCTCTGTCTCTTCTTGCAGCTCACTCTATCTGCTGCAGCTCTCTTCTCCACCTCTCTCTGCAGCTCTCTTCTCTCTGGAACTCTTCTTTGTGAACTCTAGCCATTTTGGCCTCCCCAGACTTCTAGCTCTGTCTCCTCGACTCAAGGACATGGCTGCACTCTGCTTGGCATTGCAGCCTGAAAACTCTCTCTAGGAAGTCTATCAGGGCAATTGTAGGCTCACCTTGTTTGCATCTCCTTTCTTGGAGATCTCCGTCCTGTTCTGCCTGATGTCCAACATCTGAAAACCCATCTTTCACATATTTTGTCTAGTTTTTTAGTTGTTTCAGACAGAATGACAAACCCAGGCCCTGTTACTCCATCTTGGCTGGAAGCAGAAGCCTAAATTGTCTCCAGAGAATTTTGCTAGAAAGTGTTTCTACATCTTTCTGTCATACATCTGGCTTTTTCCTTTTTTCTCTTAACTTCTTTTATTTAAAAGTCTTTGATACATTTTCTTTTCCTCTATATTTTTTGACAAATACTTAAAAACTAAAGATACATGGAAAGGAATGCCACACTAAAAACCCACATCACAAGATAATAATGACACTTTGATCAGGCTGACAAGTTCACATGCATGCTACAGAGGACCCTCTGGTTCTACTGGGCTACCCACAGCATGAGGCATAAATGTACTCCCACTTGTCCTCTTTTTGAAGGAAAATAATAATAATTTTAATTATTCTATATGACTCAAGTGTCAAACTTACAAGAAAAAAACAACTAAATTTTAAAGATCACACCTGTCTCATTTATTTAGCTAACTTAAATTAGCCAAAAATTTCTCCTATATAAAAATAATAACTAGCAAATATTCATTACATATCAGATACTCATTCTAAGTACTCCACATGAATTACAATTTAGTAATCAAAGCAATCCCATAAAATAAATACCACAATTATCATTCCCACTTATAGATGAGGGAACTGAGACTCAAGACTTATTAAGGGACATTTGCTGGCTTATGGCAGAAATAGAAATCCAAGTCTGTTTGGCACTAAACCCCATTATTTACAGGAGTGATCTGATAAATTGAAAACACTGTTGCCTGACAGAGGAAAAATAACATTGGCCTAAAATAACTAATAGGATAATAATTTTCAAAATAAGGAACAATATTCTAGTAAGTTAAAAAAAAGTCTGACCAAAAATTAGGAAGAATAAGGTAATGAAAATAAGACCTCATCTTTTATTAAGTGAGTTAGTGAAGGGCAGAGGTAAGGCAAAGTTGATGATCTTGGTATTACAAATCAGAGCAAGAGTTATATGAATTATCTGTAATGAAATGCATTATTTGCAATTAAAATTATACGAACACTGATCATCTAGCGAGAGTAAGATTAGTGTCCTGGTTCTGGAAAGCATCAGTGGAGGTATGTGTGGCGTCTTGCTGAGCATAAAGTAAAGGTGCGAGTCAAAGAAGAATGAAAATGGTAGAGGGGGGCTTTAGAAAAATGAAATCATCCTTTGATAGGATTAATTTTTTAAACGAGTTTTGCCTCTTGTCCCCCAGAGCATTGATTTTTCCTTTGAAAGAAGAGGTGCAGGCAGATTATGAGAGGTGTAGTGTGAAGGTGGAAGGCTCAGGACTGAGCCCAGCTCTGCATCAATTTTTCAGGTAATACTGAGACTGCCTTGAAACCTAAGACTTTTTTTTTTTTTTTAAGTAGTAAGGCCCCCTTTTCACAGAAAACCTTATGTTTAACATATGAAACAGAGAAGAAAAGAGGACTGTCTAACGGGGGCTGGAGGTTGGAGGCTGAGGTGTCATTCTCCTCAACTCACCATCTCCCACTCTGGCTCTTCGCAGGTCCCTAGGAGCCCCCATGGTCTCCCCTCAAGCACATTAGACTGGTTCTCCTTGAAGGGTCTTCTGAGTCTAGAGTGAAGATCTCTGAGCTCCATTCCCAGCCACTGCCCTGAGATTGTGAGGGCAATGCCTTTGTGATCCTCAGTTTGCTTAACTATAAAGTGGGGCTAGAGGAATCCCTAAGATCCCCTCCAGCTATAATACTCTGTCCTTTAATAGGACTCTCATGGTTAATAAATTAATAAGGGGCCATCACATTGCAGTAGACTATTAGGGGAAAAAGAAATTAGCCAAGTAGGTAGTGTTTTCCAGAGTCCATAATGTTTCACCAATTTACAGAGGATTAGAGATTTTTTTAATAAATTGATACAAAAATCAATAAAATTTTGGTAGTCTGTAAGCCTTAACCTGCCTTTCAGTATTGAACTGGGGAAAACTTGACAATTGTACTGATTCAGTCTATATTGATGCATTTTTTTCTTTTTTGGTAAAGAATTTCCTGTAGTTGAGAGTCACTTGAAAATACTGCAAAGTGGTTAAAAATGCTCAGAAATAACTGAATATGATTATATAAAAGAACATTCTTGCTCTCAGGAAATACATCTGGAAGTATTTAATGGTAAAGGGTCCCAATGTCTCTGACTTACTCTGAATGGCTTAAAAATATGTATTTATACCTAGGTACTACAGAGTGAGAGGGAGGAAGGGGGTCAACTGTAAATAGATGGTTAATCTAGATAAAGGAACTTTTCGGGTATAAGAGAGTTCCTTGTACTATTCTTGCAACTTTTTTATAAGTTTAAAACTATATCAAAATAAAAACTTACAGAAACAAAAAAAAAATGCTCAGAAAAATACCTAACTGAAATGCATTTGTTTTTCCCCTCCCACACCCTTTCTGTAAACTTCCTGTCACACCTCAATTTATTTATTTTTTATTTTTTATTATATTTTAAGTTCTAGGGTACGTGTGCACAACGTGCAGGTTTGTTACATATGTATACATGTGCCATGTTGGTGTGCTGCACCCATTAACTCGTCATTTACATTAGGTATATCTCCTAATGCTATCCTGCCCCCCTCCCCACACCCCACGATAGGCCCCGGTGTGTGATGTTCCCCTTCCTGTGTCCAAGTGTCCTCATTGTTCAGTTCCCACTTATGAGTGAGAACATGCGGGTCACACCCCAATTTATAAGAGAATATTCATGACATTTTCCCCCATGTATTTTTCCCTTTCCCATCTCCCTTCTCTTTGATAGCTGTGATCATCAGAGCAGGAGTACCTGAAAGCCCTAAGGGTTGATGAGTTGCAGCTGATCATCCGCTTAACCACTGCTGACAGTTCTGCTGCTGCTCTTACTATACTTTCAGAGTACAGTAAGCAAGCAGTTGCATTTCTAGGGATTTCATCCATTCACAGTGATAAGAGAAAACAGCCCACTTGTATTTTATTTCAAATCCTCTTTATTCAGGGAAATATTTGTTAAGTATAAGAAATAATAAGTATGGGAATGAAGAATATCATTTCAGCAAAAAGGCAGTGTAGCCAAGGCTGCCAGGGCTCTGCACATGTCCCCTTGGCTCTTACCGTTCCTATCTGTGCCAATGGCTTCTTACCACAAGCTCTTCTGATTCTCTGCCTGAGAACTTTTCCCAGTCCAGGAAACAAAACAGAGAGCTGGGTTGTTAATGCCCTAACAGCATCCATGAGCCAATGGTGGACAGAGTTGGGTGGATAAATGCCTCCTATTCTCTCGTCCTCTGAGGCATGTTCTAATCTACACAACGGCCCAGATGGCCCCAGACAGATGGCCCCAGTAGCCCACAGTAATAGCTGGTTTATTGTTTTTTTGTTTGTTTGTTGTTTTTTGTTTTTTGAGACAGGATCTCACTCTGTCACCCAGCCTGGAGTGCAGTGGCACAATCACTGCTCACTGCAGCCTCAACCTGCCTGAGCTCAGGTGATCCTCCCACCTCAGCCTCCTGAGTAGCTGGAACTACAGGTGCGCACCACCATGCCTGGCTAATGTTTTTGTATTTTTTGTAGAGACTAGGTTTTGCCATATTGCCCAGACTGGTCTCATACTCCTGGGTTCAAGCAATCCTCCTGCCTCAGCCTCCTAAAGTGTTGGGATTACAGGCACGAGCCAATGAGCTGACTGGTAGCTGGTTTACTAACATACCCTGGGTTCTTTCTCATCTCCATCTCACTTCTCACTCCTTTCAGGGATCACCTCCCAAGCAAACTACTTATACTCAAAGTGTTCTCTCAGGCTCTGATTCTGAGGGAACCTGCTGCAAGACAAGGGGGTATTTCAAGAAGAAAAGAAAGAAACTAATTTCATTAAGGACCCACCAACGGTGTAGGACGCTATGCCTATGTTATCTTTGTTCAACTTTCACAGCAACCCTACTAGAAAAATACAGTTACTGTATTCTTGCAGATAGGAGAAGGTGACTCAAAGAAGTAAATATTTTGCTTAAAATCACACAGTTTGGGGAGGCTGGGGAGGTTGTAGTGTTCAAATCTACAGCCACAGACCACATGGTCCCATGCCTGCCTCTCCACCTGCCTCCTGAATCCCTTCATTAACCCTGGCAGGCCACTACCGACCAGCTTCCCCTTAAATCCTTCAGGGACAAAAGGCTTTGAGTTCATTCCTTTTTTCTGAAATCTAAGTTAATAAAAAAAGGTGAAAACTGTGTCAGAGAAATTTGGTTCAGTTCCACACACATCTGTTGCATGATCATTCCCAACCACATCTTGTGAACAGTCCCTACCCTCAGGGAGCTTCCAGTCCAGTGAGGGAGCCACACTCATGATCAAAAGCAGCCATAGAATGTGTTAAGTAAGGTACAGATATGCATTCAAGAGAGTTATTTAGCCCAACTTGGGGTTTCAGGAAAGTTTCCTGGTCAGGTAAAGCCCAGGCTGAGTCTCGAAGGGCAAAGAATATCCAGGGATATAATAAAAAAAATTTTGATGGCGATTTCAGCAGAAGGTAGTGATTGAATAAATGTGTGAGTTGAGGGAAAGAAAGGAGTCCAGAATGACAGAGATTTTTGGCTTTAGCAATCAGATGGAAGGTGGTGCTACTAACCAAGACTGAGAATACAGGAGAAAGAACAGACTGGAAGATGCTGAGGCCATTTTTGTCCATGCGTCACTACATCAGACAGTGACAAGTATCCTTTGGATCTGCCAGGTAAGCTTTCCCAACATGTCTTCAGTTACAGAGTAGAGTCTCTTGGGCATATAAGTGGGCATTTGACCCAGGTCTGGCCAATTATAGCACCCCACCGTTCTGTCAATAACTCTTGAGCAGCCACATGACTTGTGCTGGTTAGCTTTGATTGTTTACAAACATATCCCTAACTCAGTGGCTTGAAGCAACAACAATTCACCATTTGTGACAATTCTATGGGTTGTCAGGGTGGGTCTTCCCATCTGAAATGGTCTCGCTATGGCTGGATGGTCTAGGATGGCCTCATACATGTCTAGTCTCAGCAGGGATGGCTGGGCCTCTCTCTCTACTGGCTGGCCTGGGCTTTCTCACATGGAGGCAGAAAGGTTCCCCGTGACAAGAGCAGAAGCACCTCTTGTAGGACCCCATGCGCCCTAGGTGGGGTGCTCCCCCGCTGTGCTCCCCTGAACCCTGTATGTCCTCTTCATAGAATTTCTGCTGCTTGATGAACTGTCAGGGACTGTTTCCTCCATGACAGCAGAAAGTGTTTCTATTTTATTCATTGCCTCTCATAGTGCCTGGCATCTAGTAGGTGCTCAGTAATTATATGGGTTATGAATGAATGATTGTGATGCATTCCAAAGATGAACAAATAAAGTGGCTAGTTCAATGAGTCATAGGTTTACTTGAGAAGGAGACTTAATGGATAGGGCAACATTTCAGATCTCATAGAACTGCAATGCATGGTGTGGGGAGCACTGATGTTTTTCATTCCTGATCCTGCAGGCCCTGGCCAGCACCCCAGGACACAGGACTTCATGCTCCCTATGCCAGCTTCGAGGGGTACAATAGAGTCTTTCTGGTCACTCCCTCCTCCCGCATTCTGCAATTGCATGTGTCCTCCCTGCCTGGGTCCTCAGTGCTGGGAAGTGGCCTTCAAGTCCCTAAAGACGACATAGTTGCAACAAGGATTTTAATTGCAACAAGGATTATATTGTTCAGCACCACACCACACATCCTCCCCATTCCTTCTCTCTCTGCCTCTCTCTCACTTCTGCACCTCCTTCCAGGGCATCCTGCCTCTCTTTGTCTCCTAGATGCAGGGACAGGCTCCAAGTAGCACACATCAGTCATTTCGCTACTCCAAATCAGCAGGGCCACCCAAGTCCTTCTGCAAGTGGAGGGGAGGATGAGATTGGGTTGGTTTTGGCTGAGCTTCAGCCAGCTAAACTGAGTACCCCCACCTCGTGTTCTTCCAAGGCTTAGAATCTCCAGCCCCACACATATTACAAAGAATTAAAATACCCACATGTCTAAGCAAAGTTTCTCAACCATGGCACTATTAACATTTTGGACTTGATAATTCCTTGATGTGGGGAGTTTCTATCCACTAGATGCTAGCGGCAATCTCCCCCTCCAGTTGTGACATTCAAACACATTTCTAGACATTGCCAAATGCCTCTTGGGGGTGAGGGCTCAGTCCTGGTTGAGAGCACTGGTATAAAGCCTTGAAAATGCACATAGAGGCCGGGCGTGGTGGCTCATCCCAGCACTTTGGGAGGCTGAGGCGGGTGGATCACTTGAGGTCAGGAGTTTGAGACCAGCCTAGCCAATATGGTGAAACCTCGTCTTACTAAAAATACAAAAATTAGCCTGGCATGGTGGCGCATGCCTGTAATCCCAGCTACTCGGGAGGCTGAGGCAGAAGAATTGCTTGAACCCAGGCAGCAGAGGTTGCAGTGATCCAAGATCATGCCACTGCACTCCAGCCTGGGCAATAAAATGAGACTCCATCTCAAAAAAAAAAAAAAAAGCACATAGAAATACATCCTATGGAAATGCATCTAGAAATTTATTCTGAGGAAATTATTAAGGATGTGCATGAGGATGAAGCTACAAGGATGTAGCCTGATAACATCAACACTGCAACAACAACGAAAAACAACCTAAATTTTCAACAATAGGGGGTTAAGTACATCTAAACGTTGGAATACGATACTGCCATTAAAAAAAAATCCATGATCCACATCTATGGACATGAAAAGATGTCTACGACGCATTAACGCATGAAAAAACAGCTAACAAAACAAGGTTATAGTATAATTGCAGACAGTGAGACAAATTGTGCATAGAGAAAAAAGGCTGAAAGGCTATAGCCCAAAATGTTAATAATAGTATCTCTAAAATGGGGAGATACAAGTAACTTTTTTGCTTTTGCTTTTGCTTCCTTGTGTTTTCTAGGCTGTCAACAATGAACAAGTACTTCTTAATTTATAAAATGTAAGATAAAATTCCTCGAAAAGAAAGAGTAGCCCCAGGTTTTGAGCACAGAAACCCACAAACCACTTCTCCCTGGGAGAAAAGTGACCTTCCCTCTTCCCCCACCCTTTGCTCCTCCCAGCATGTAAGAGGAATTTACTGCCTGAAGAAAACTGTTACATAGACCCAGTCTCTTGGTTCTGTTTCTCTCCCACCCTGCCCGCTTCTCTTCCACCCACTCTGTCTTCCCAGGATTCCAATTAAAGTGACTAATAAGAGCTTTGAGACTGATGGAGGAATTTGGAATTTGACCATCAGCAAAGCTTTAGAGGCACCAACAGGGGAGAAGTCCTTAAACCCATTCCCTGGAACTAATCCTGCCCTGCCTGACTGCCCTCAGCTCACCAAGGACCCACTCTCTGCAGCGGCCAGTCTTTCCTCTGGCATGTTCCAGATTCTCTAGGCCAGGGAGTTCAGACCGTTGGCTCCCTTCCTCTCCCCCACAGCCTGCCACTTCACTGCTAATTAGCACCTCCAGCTCAGCCAGCACAGGGTGGACAGAAGCAAAGCCATTGCTTCTGCCTCTTGCTAGAGAACAGCTGCTGGGAAAGAGGTGGCAAGCATTGGTCAGGATGAGTTTGTGGATATCCCCCAGATTCACTGGACCACAGTTGCTTCCCTCTCCTGTTCACTCCTTATTTCACTCACGCCCTGGTTGGGAGCTGCTTGTAGGCATGGATTCTGAGCAGGGCTGGAGCTATGGAAGCTCAGTTCAATGGCTTGTTCAATGGCTCTTGGGTATGGCCTAGGAAAGCATCGGCATAGGTGTAGGTGAGGTGTATGCATGTTGAGGGCAGATAAAGGAAAGTGGGGGAGTAAGAACATCTGGGGCTCAAGTCCTCACTTCCAAGATGACAGAGAAAGAAGAAACGACGGTCATGCCCAAAAGGGCCATGCCACGTGCAACCTATTTGCTGCAAGAACTGCACCTGATGCATGTTCAAGGACCAGGCTATTAAGAAGTTTGTGGCCAGGTGTGGTGGCTCATGTCTATAATTCCAGCAGTTTGGGAGGCTGAGATACAAGGATCACTTGAGGCCAGGAGTTTAAGACCAGCCTGGGCAACACAGTGAGACCGTCTAGAAAAAATTTAAAAATTAGCCAGGCATGGTAGCACATGCCTGTAGTCCCAGCTACTCAGGAGACTGAGGCTGGTGGATCACTTGAGCCTGGGAGGTTGAGGCTGCGGTGAGCTGTGATCATGCCACTGCACTCCAGCCTGGGTGACAGAGACCCTGTCAAAAAGAAAAAAAAAAAAGTTCATCATTTGAAACATAGAGGCTGCAGCTTTCAGAGACATTTCTGAAGCAAGCATCTTCGACGCCTATGTGCTTTCTAAGTGTGAAGCTACATCACTGTGTGAATTGTGCCATCCACAGCAAGGTAGTCAGGACTTCATCTCATGAAGGCCGAAAGGACAAAGAATCAAATACCTTCATCCCGATTTACATCTGCACGTGCTGCCCCACAACCTCCACCAA
Source organism: Homo sapiens (assembly GCF_000001405.40). NCBI lineage: Eukaryota > Metazoa > Chordata > Mammalia > Primates > Hominidae > Homo > Homo sapiens. The sequence continues at coordinate 82,776,092 of NC_000004.12, forward strand.
AGCCCATGTAAGAAGCTGAGTCCTTAAGGACTGAAGAAAAACTATTCTCTGGAGAAAACAAAAATGGAAATTATACGTAATATAGCATGTGGAGCGTATCTGTGCCAGATACGGTGGGGAGTTTGTGTGTCTGTTAGACCAAGTGCTCTGGTGTAAAGTGCCACATAGTGTTTTCATGGGGAAGAGAGCTTATCCATGAATATTAAACCTTAACTCTTTTGCAATCATATCCTTGGCCTCCCCAGTTTGCATGTGAAAAAAAGATCATTTCGGCATCTGTGAATGTTGTGTCAATTTGACCTGACCGAGTTTAAGTTAGCATCCTAAAAATAGGTGAAGACTGTCTAGGAGAGCAGGGAAAAACTGAACATGGTTGAGTGAGGAGCACATTAGGAACTGACTTAGAGGTGTTCATATCCCTGCTGGAGGCTTTCCTAGGAAAGGCATGACCTGGACAGCTTCAAAGCATCCGAGGATTCACATGCAGATCCTCAACCTCCTGCTTGGAATTGACCTGTGGTGAGCCAGCCTCTTCCAACGAGCATCTGTCTCTGGTGCATTTCTCTATGGAGCAGAAATGTCCAAGACACCAGAGGCATTTCTAGAAACCTGTGGGAGTCTCACAAGAGGAAGAAGAAGTTCCATAAAGTATGGAGAAAGGCTATGCCTTATTTTGTCTATGTAACAATGGTATGGTTTATGTGTTCTAGAATTCAGAAATAAGAAAGTTAACTAGAGATACATATTTATGTTAATCTGAGAAATCCATTTGGTAGTAGATTGTTGGGACTGACTTTGCTGCATAGGTTATATGTGTTTCTGAAGCTAAACCTGTAGCTTAGAGATTTTAATAACATGCATTCTGCTGAAAAACAAAAACAAAACAAAACTCATCTGGGAAGCTGTGCTGAACTACATGCTGCGCCCATGCTCTTCTGCAGACTTCTGACCACTAGTTCTGGGCAGAAAACTGGATGGATGAGGAGCCGGAGAGCTCTCCTTTTAGCTCCTACATGCCAGACAGTGGCCCTCTCTCTGAGCACCTTAATTAATTAGCCCCATGACATCACATTGGGGTCAGCAACATGATCTCCATTGTACAGATGAAGAACTGAGATGGCGAGAATCTAAGTTACTTGTCTGAGGTCACACAGCCAGAAAGTCTCTGAGAAAGTGTCAAGTTTCCCCTCCTCGGCCTACTCTCCCTTCCCAACCCTGGAATGTGTTTTCTCGCCAAGAATTGAGCAAAGTATCTTTCAAACAGCATCAGATATCCAGTGCAATCAAGACAAGTTTTGTGATAAGAAAGTGAGTCCTCAGGGCTAAGGCCTATGGTTTAGTCAATTCCCTGGGAAACAGGTGCTGAAAACATTCATGACATCAGAGAGTGCTGAGGATACACACAGGGTATACTATTTCTGGTCAAAGACAGCTTAATAGGTGTGTGATGGTTGGTGACACAGGGCCCCATCCTTAGGAGGGCCTCATGCGTGGTTAAATGCACTGCTATCACCATCTTGAAATTCTTAATAATCATTGAACAGGTGCTATATTTTCATTTTGTACTGGGCCCTATAAATTATGTAGCTGGTCCTGCTTCTGGGAAAGTATCTTGGTCGCCTCCCTGCATTCCCCATTCCCAACCATGGGGCTTCCTGTGGGGCCAGGATTCTATATAGTCTTAGTAAGTGATGTTTTCTCGGCCAGTGTTTAAAACCAAAACAAAACAGAAGCCCCAAATTCATGCAACTAAGCAATAAAGTCTCTTCACCGAGCAACACTCCCCCTTTGAAAGCTGACGCTGCCCCCTTGAGACATTTCCCCCCTCAAAACCCTAGCCCCCTATTTACAAATAGCAAAGTCATGGAACCAACCCAAATGCCCATCAATAATAGACTGGATAAAGAAAATGTGGTATATATGTACCATGGAATATTATGCAGCCATAAAAAGGAATGAGATCATGTCCTTTACAGGGACATGGATGAAGCTGGAAGTTATTACCCTCAGCAGACTAACACAGGAACAGAAAACCAAACACCACACGTTCTCACTCATAAGTGGGAGTTGAACAATGAAAACACATGAACACAGGGAAGGGAACAACACACACCAGGGCCTGTTGGGGGATTGGGGGTGAGGGGAGGGAACTTAGAGGACAAGTCAATAGGTCAACAGCCTCCAGAACCCACCCTGCCTCCAGTCACATTTTGCTAAGATGTCACCCCAGGGACCTGGCCCAAGGAGGGTGCTCGTACACTGACACCTATTGCTACTGTAATGAACTGTCACAAAGTTAGTAACTTACAGCAACAAACATGTATTATTTACAGTTCTACAGATTAGAAGCCTGAGCCAGGTGTGGCTGGGCTGCAATTCTTTGGAAGGATTTGTCCTTTGGAAGGTCCCTACAAGGGCCGCATGCTCTAGGGGCTATTCCTGGCCAGTGGGCCTCAACCTGTGAGCTGGCCAGACCATCCCCAGGGAGGGGAGGACAAGGTCAGCAAACTTGCCACTCTGATGACCCTTTGATGTCCCCTTCACAAGAACAAGCTCTCCTCAAAGAAAGCCTTTAAATAACTGGGCGTTTCTGTCCAGGTAGTACCTATGATAACTGAAGGAACCAATGCAGGTTAGTTTTCCTCAGTGTCTGGGTATGGTAAGCAGAATAACAGCTCCCAGAGATGTCCACATACTGGTATCTGTGAATGTATTACATTACAGAGCAGAAGGTAATTAAGCTCACAGGTGGAATTAAGTTTGCCAACTAGCTAATCTTTTTTTTTTTTTTTGAGATGGAGTTTCGCTCTTGTTGCCCAGGCTAGAGTGCAGCCGTACAATCTCAGCTCATGGCAATCTCTGCCTCCCAGGTTCAAGCGATTCTCCTGCCTCAGCTCCCAAGTAGCTGGGATTACAGGCATGCGCCACCACGCCTGGCTAATTTTGTATTTTTAGTAGAGACGGGGTTTCTCCATGTTGGTCAGGCTGGTCTCGAACTCCCGACCTCAGGTGATCCACCCGCCTCGGCCTCCCAAAGCGCTGGGATTACAGGCGTGAGTCACTGCGATCAGCTGCCAACTAGCTAATCTTAAACTAGCAAAAGTATCCTCAACTATGTGGGTGTGCTTAATGTAATAATGAGAGTCCTTACAAGTGGAAGAGAAGCAGAGGAGGAGGCCAGCGTGATGTCATGTGAGAAGGACTCAGTGTGCTCTTGCTGGCTTTGAAGATGGAGGAAGGGCCCATCAGCCAAGGACAGCATGCAGCCTCTACCAGGTGAAAAAGGCAAGGAAACAGATTACCCACGAGGGCCTCCTGAATGTCGACACTTTGATTTTAGTCCAGTGAAACCTAGGTCAGGTTTCTAATCTGCAGGAAATAGTAAATTTGTGTTGCTGAAAGTTGTCAGGGCTCAGCCACCAGGCATGCATCAGTGGGCAATGCTGTCCCAGAGCTGCCCACACATGGAGTGCCCAAATCACTCCTCTGTAGGAAGTCAGAACCTTCAGGACTGTGTTGCCTAAGGATGCTAGGCAGGGCTCAGGAACCAGAACAACCTCATGCAAACCCTGACGGCCCCTTAACAGCTCTGTGACCTTGGGCAAATCACTCCTCCCTGTCTCTTTGTTTCCTCAAAAGCAAAATGTGGATGACACCAGGACGAGGCTGTCATTCCTTACCCAAAACCTTGGGGTCAGATGTGCTTCAAGGTTCACAATTTTTCAGATTTTTGTATAGTGCATTTGCACTACAATAATGCCCACAGTGAGTCCATCATCAAACACAATATGACTATTCAGACTAAATAGGTCAGTTTTGCCACCAAATGGATTCACTGGGTCAAGTTTTCTCTCTAAATTAGTTATAAAATAACTTTTGTTCTCAAAGTTATTGTTGCTGTTCCTAACTACAGCAAGGATACTGTGGCCCTATAATTACTTCATAGAGTTACTATGTGGATTAAAAGAGTTATAATACAGGAAGCACTTAGGCCCATGCCTGATGCACAGAAAGCACATAAATGTTTAGGAACATCTGTAGCCAGTTTTCTTGCACAGTTCTACATTCCATGCCTAGCATGTGCTGTTACAGCTGTTGGGAATGCATTTTCCCTGGTGTTTCTGCCTGGAGAACTCCCATTCACCTATTCAAAGGTAACTTGGTGTCACCCCCACCATGCAGGTGTCCTTGACCACTCTCCTCTAGTCACACCTGCACCCCAGGCCTACTTCTCTGCTGGCATTCCTCACACTGCATTATAACTGGCCTAGGTCCATCTCCCCTTCTAGATCTCGTGAGTAGGAATGATAGCTTGCTTACCTGTGTATTCTTAGCACTTAGCACACACTAGGCCCATGTCCACAAATGTGTGGAAAATGGAATTTAATCAGACACCTAAATCTCTCAGCCTGCCAGTCTCCAAGCAGGTGCAGAAAAGCACATCCCAAAAAGGGCTCCCTCACTGCTCTCAAATCTGAACAGAGACTAAAAACACCAATTTGCACATTCAGCATTATCACAACAGTGCCTGGAGAACTTCTTTTGCTCCTTAAAATACTTCATCTGTCTCATAAGCCCAATTAATATCCACCAGAAATGGCCCTGGCCAAAGGGAGACTTGGGAGATTAATTAGCACTTCAGCTATTCAGCAAAAATTTATCTGAGTCCAAAATCTCTCCCTTCAACCTTCAGACTGAAGAAACACCTGGCCACCCCAGGAGGCCCCAGGGGGCCAGCCTGGACGGCTGCTTCTCCGGGGCCTGCTGCTTCCACAGCGTCAGGGGAGGTCCGGGCACAGGGCCAAGGGGCGGCTTTGCTTTCACAGTGCTTTGTATTTCCTCTTCCCTATGAAGACACCAACAGTTAGAGGTGGGCCCTGGCTAGGTCTAGAAGGCCCCCACCAGCCTCCTCACACTCACATAATTGAAAGGGAGAGAAACGCAGCAGGGCCCCCCAGAGGAGGGCTGGAGAAGCCTCAAAATAAACAAGCACCAGCTAGGGCTTGAGAATCATTCACACTAAAAGAAAAAAGGACTTGAGGGCCGGGCGTGGTGGCTCATGCCTGTAATCCTAGCACTTTGGGAGGCCGAGGCAGGCAGATTGCCTGAGCTCAGGAGTTCGAGACCAGCCTGGGCAACATGGTGAAACCCTATCTCTACTAAAATACAAAATAATTAGTCAGGCGTGGCGGCGTGCTCCTGTAGTCCCAGCTACTAGGGAGGCTGAGGCAGGAGAATAGCTTGAACCCGGGAGGCAGAGGTTGCAGTGAGCTGGGATCACGCCACTGCACTCTAGCCTGGCTGACAGAGTGAGACTCTGTCTCAAAAAAAAAAAGAAAGAAAGAAAAAAGGACTTGGAAAGTACATCTCCTTTCCAAGAGAAGGGAGGGGAAAGATTCAACAGCAGAAGGAATGGAAATATCCACTTGGGTTATGCTGTGGTTTGAATGTGTCTCCCTAAGTTCATGTGTTGGAAACTTGATTCCCAGTGCCACAGTGTTGGGAAGCAGGCCTAATGGGAGGTGTTTGGGTTACTGGGCCACTACCCTTATGAAGGAATTAATGCCATTACTGTAGGAGTGGACTAACTATAAAAGGATGAGGTGGGCTCCCTCTTGCTCTCTCTCACCCTCTCATTGCCCTTGCATAATAGGATGATGCAACAAGAAGGCCCTCACCAAATACCAGCCCCTCAGTCTTGGACTTCCCACCTTCCAGTATTATGGAAAATGAATTTCTGTTCATTTGAAGTTACCCAGTATTCTGACATAGCAGCACAAAACAGACTAAGACAGATTACTGTCCTAGATGAGGGTGGTCATCAGACCTCATCACCCTGTGGGTGAGCAAAATCACCTATGTCATGTGGCCACTGTTGACAGGATGCAGGTGAGGATTAAGTCCTCCCCACCTCTCAGTTGCATTTAACATCTAGAGCCTGGCTGTCTTTCCGCCCATTTGTCAGTGGCTCAGAAACACTTACAAAGGACCCTCCTATCTTGGGTCACAGAGAAGACTAAATCTAGGATGCCCCTAAAGACAATTTAGTCCCATGAAGAACTGCACTGTGTCTCCGGCCTGCCTGAAAAAGGGGCATGACTGATCGAGGGAAGTGTCTGCTCCTCTCCAAATGAGGTGATTATAAAAGTCTCCAGAGATAAGAAGGGACCTTAGAGAAGAGCTCCATGAACCTCCATATTTAGAATTAACAAATTTACTAGAATACAGACATACAGCAGAAATCCTGAAATACAGCGGAAATCCAGAAATACAGTGGAATGACAGCATCAGTGTGCTTGTCCGGTTCTGGGGGTAATAACTACTCCCATAGCAGGGCTGGTCCTTCCTGGGAAGCAGCTGCTGCCCCTGATTTAGTCCTCACACCAATCCTAGAAAAGAAGGTTTCCTGTTCCTCTCCCAAGGTGCAGGTTAAGGTTTGTGCCCAAAGCTACTTATTTGAGGCTTTCTCCAGGGTCCTTTTTCACCTCCTACTTCCTAACAGCTTTTCCCCACACATCTAAGGGACAATCCAAGTATCTATTCCCATCCCCACCCCCATCCTCCCCCAAGAAAACAAGTTACTCCACCCCTATAAAGTATTCCAGGTCCTAATACTCTCCCTGCTCCTGTGAAACTCCCATTCCCTCAAGGTGTCAGCCCTGTGTTAGAAGAAAATATGTGCTGAAAGCACTTTACACCAACGTGTGGATTCCTGTGGAGGGAACACACCCACGGCTATTCACATGCCTAAAATTGCACCTGTTGTCAACCCTAAGGAATCTGGGCTGGAATTTCAGTCACTCTAAGGAGAGCCACACAACAATACTGAGGTGGGAGAAGGGTGATGTTCACCTGATGGGGACACAGCATCACTCCCAGGCCACCTGCTTCGGGGCCTGAATGTCTCCAACCCCCTGGCTATAAGAACCACCAGCAACACTTGATAAAATGCAGATTCCTGGGTCTGGCCCCCAGAGATACTAATTCTGTAGGTCTGGATGGAGCCCTGAAATCTACATATTCAACATGCAACTCAGATGACTCCGATGCAGACGGCCATAGACCACACTGTGCACTTCAGTACAACTCACTCATGACTGACTCCTGCTTCTCTGTTTCCACCCATCTCCAGCCTCTCACAGCTGTTTTTCCCAAGGACTAGGGAGAGTTAGTAGGAAAAAGGTTGCCCCCAAAGTTTTCCATGGACAATGTAGCCAGAATGACCTCTGCCAATACTTGATACTTAGTAATTTACAGATACAATTGCCTGGAATTTGCTTCAATCTAATCCAAAGGGGGAAAAAAATAGCTAAAGAGGACATGGCAAAGATGCCTGATGACATTAGACTTTCCACTGTGCAGTAGAGAATATCAAAAGTAAATTTCCAGATTTTTTACTCAGGAAGGCCAGATTTAAAAAGGAAAAAAATTGGCCAGGCGCGGTGGCTCACACCTGTAATCCCAGCACTTTGGGAGGCCGAGGTGGGCGGATCACCTGAGGTCGGAGGTCGAGACCAGCCTGACCAACATGGAGAAACCCCATCTCTACGAAAATAACAAAATTAGCTGGGCGTGGCAGCGCATGCCTGTAATCCCAGCTACTTGGCAGGCTGAGGCAGGAGAATCGCTTGAACCTAGGAGGCGGAGGTTGCAGTGAGCCGAGATCGCACCATTGCACTCCAGCCTGGGCAACAAGAGTGAAACTCTGTCTCAAAAAAAAAAAAAGGAAAAAAATTAAAATTAAAAAAAAGAAAAAGATTTTTTAAAAGAAAGAAAGAAATGTCCAGATTTTGATAACTGTGCTGTGGTTATATTCTTGTTCTCAGAAAATATACACTAAAATATTTAGAGATAAAAGGACAGAATGTCTCCAATTTATTCTTAAATGGTTCAGAAAAAAATATATAGATTCTATACATACACACGTATATAACGTATATACATACACAGAGGAAATGATAAAGCAAATGAGGCAAGATGTCAGCTGGCGAATCTGGATAGAGTCTACGGGAGATCCTGATACTATTCTTAACAACTGTTCTATGAGCTTGAAATTACACATCACAGTAAAATGGTTTCAAAGAAAAAAAATCCCCAGGTGCATGTGAGGCAGCGGTAACAGTTCTCTTTACCTTTGTATATGTTTCACACTTTCTATAATTTAAAAAAATTACCTATACAACGCTTCAGGTGATGGTTTGAGTGACGCTGACCCCAGGCTAGCCCGAGAACCTAGACACAATATACAGCCTCATGGGAAAATGAATTGTGAGTGACGAGTACACCTAAATCTGCAGTGCCATCTTCTACATCATATTCCCAACCCCTAACACCAAAAAGAAATAGCTTCGCAATTTTATCTTTATGGTGTTATTTTTCTCTGATGATAAAATTAATATCAATTCTTTTTGGGGGGAGGAAATCGTATACAACAGCAATTGTAAACCAGAAAATAAAATCACATTTTAGATACACATTGCTTCTACTGCAAAAGGAGTTTCTATTCAGACAAGTGAGTGAAAGCCCCAGAATTTAGACAGTGCTGTAATACCTTTCTTTACATGGTTTCGGGACATAACTTTAAGCCAGAATAACAGACTGTTTTTTTTTAAGTTCTCATTAAACTAGAACCGTGAAAGGGATAGAAGCTGAAGATTATACGGATTATGTAAGAAGAGGATGCAAATGCAGAGGTGATATTAAAAATATCTGACAACCCACAGGGCACCAGCTAATCAAAACCAGTCAGAACAGATGCAGATTTAAGCCCTGCAGCTGGGCCAGGCAATAACCCTTTAGCTCCTGGATTGTTGGCGATTCCAGGAGTACCAGGGAAGGCAGCAGCTATTCACTATTTCAACATTTTAACAACTAGTAGAGCCACAGTGGAGCACACTAATGGAAGCCCAGCTCTGTCTGTAGGGAATATTAGCTCTAATAGCTGTGACTTCTTCCAGTTCTCATGGGAGCTCTGCCAAGTAAAGTGCAGATCTCATCTATACTCACAGGGTAGTGGCTTCGCTCACCACCCCCCATCCCCCCAGCTCCAGATGATGCTGTAGGAAACCAGAATATGCCGCTCCAAAATACACTACTCTGGCATAAGGATTATTTTGAGCTGAAAGCAATTGAAAAGAAGCAGATACAAGAAGAGCTCTCTGCCCTCCCCTTATTTGCCTAAAAGCAGGACACAGATTTACAAAGGCAAAAGGGTCTTCCTCCCCTCTTTATAAGGAAAAGCAAAGGATGACCATGCAAGACAAAGTTAGACCCCTAGCAGCTTTAAGACATCAAAGGAATCTACATAACAAGCCTTACTAACCACCCTTTATCAATTTGCCTTCCCTCCAGACTCAAAGTCCTTTTCGTTTGTCCTGTCACTTCCTTATAAATTTACTGTTCTTTGTTGAAAATCGTATGTAAGCCTGAATGCAAAGTCACCTCCTTGAGAATTACTCGTTTCCTGGTTACCTCCCATGTATACCTGAGGTATATATGTCAATAAATTTCGATTTGTTTTTCTCTTGCTAGTCTGTCTTTTGCTGCAGGGGGTCTTTCCCTGCTAAAAATGACAAGGGGTGGAGAGAAAATTATTTTTTCTCCCTCTACAGAGTCTACAGTAATTTGAGTATAGCTAAAAAATGCTAATGACTCACCCACTCTTCAATTGCTACACAGCCAAACAATGGATGTGGGGGTGAGAGGTGGAAGGGGGAGATATGTAGGCATTATTCACACTTCCTAACAAATATCTCCTTTTGCTAACAGAGACGCCAGGGCAAAACAAATGTTTCTGGGGACACTCAAGTGAGTCATAGGCTGAGAACAGAGATGAGCTTTATTGTAACCATCTGCAAAAGCTTCTTACGAACCTATTAGAGGGGTGGGTTGATAAACTATTCCACGGGACAATTACATTTTAGAAATTCATTTTTTTAAGAAAGAAATTCATTTCTAACTTCATGCATGGAAGTTTGAAAGTAAGAATATTTTCCATTATCTACCCCTGCCTAAAGAATAGTAAGTTGGTTAGGGTACTGGGGGAAATTACAGCTGTTCCTTTCAGTTATGAAAGGGAGAAGGGTAGAGACCTGGTCTTTGTTTTCTTACACAACGGGTGGCCCAGGCTGTAAGTGATTAATTACTTGCTTAATAAATGCTTTTTGATGTTAAGGAGGAGGGTGCTATTAGAGACGGCCTTTCCAATTTAGGTCATAGGCTGCATTTGTAAGCCACTGTCTCTTCAGAGAACCAAGCTAAAACCAACACAGCCCAAATAGCCAAGTGTGTGACAATCTTGATAGAATAGGTAGTGATATAGGAAGAAAATAAATTTAAACCTGATTTCTAAACTCTATTCATGTCTTGTTTCATTTTCAAGCTCATTGATATTTGATGTTTTTTCTCTATTTAAGAGGCAATCTTCGGCCAGGCGCAGTGGCTCATGCTTGTAATGCCAGCACTTTGGGAAGCCGAGGTGGGCGGATCACCTGAGTTCAGGAGTTCGAGACCAGCCTGGCCAACATGGTGAAACTACTAAAAATATAAAAATTAGCTCGGCATGGTGGTGCATGTCTGTAGTCCCAGTTACTGGGGAGGCTGAGGCAGGAGAATCGCTTGAACCCAGAAGGCAGAGGTTGCAGTGAGCCGAGATCACACCATTGCACTCCAGCCTGGGGGACAAGAGCGAGACTTTGCCTTAAAAAAAAAAAAAAAAAAACAAGGCAATCTTCAAAAACTTCCCAATAGCCACCAGGAGCAACGTAGATCAAGCACTTACCTTAAGTAGGCATTGTACATGCCTTGTTTGACTGAAAGGTTTTACACAATGGCTATGCCACAGTCCCGCTCTACACATTTTTCTGACATCTGCCCTTTAAAATAAGGTTTTCCGTCCACTCCGGCCAAAAGCTATTGTTTTGTTTCACACAGTTAGCTCCCTCCTCCTAAGCAAGATCTTTGTTCCTAGATTGTTTGTGCAAATAAAAAGTACCTGCTGTGTGAGGTTAAGTGAGGATGCACTGGCCTTATAAATGCTCCCTTTTGAAGCAAAATCTGAGGCAAGAGAACAGAAATCCTGTTAGGACTTCATCAGTGAGATTCTGTGTCACTTGAAAGATGTGGAAAATGACCAACCAAGAAAACGATCAGTCTGGGGAAAGTATGTCACCATGGAGAATCTTGGTAAAGAACACATTCTAAGTCACTGGTTTTCCCTTTTTTTTTTTTTCTTTTAATTCAGTTCCAGGAACCCTCCCACAAGGGTGTTTAAAAATTCCCTGTGCCCAGAGTAACCTACCGCTCTACTGGGAAGAGCACACTGAAATGTAAAACACAGGAGCCAGACCTTTCCAGGGAATGGAGGCAACACCAAGGAAGGCCTTGGAAGAGGTGTTGGCTGTCTCAGCAGCCACGCCCTCCGCTTCCTTCGAGCCAGAGCCTCTGTTTCATTTGGCTCTTTTGCCCTTGCCTCATGTGACTCAGTGGCTGCTGTGGTCTGAATGTTTGTCTTCCCTCCAAAATTCCTATGTTGAAATCCTTACCTTCAAGGTGTTGGTATTAGGAGGTGGGGCTTTGGGGAGGTAATTAGGTCATGAGGATGGAACCATCAGGAATGGGATTAGTGCCCTCTAAGGCACTAAGAAAAGGCTGGTGGGCTAGACTCAGTGACTCATGCCTGTAAGCCCAACACTTTGGGAGGCTGAAGTGGAAGGATCATTTGAGGCTAGGAGTTTGAGACCAGCCTGGACAACATAAAAAGACCCTCATTCTCTACAAAAATAATAACGTAAAAAATTAACCAGGTATGGTAGCATGCCTCTGTAGTCCTAGCTACTTGGGAGGCTGGGGTAGAAGGATCCCTTGAGTTCAGGAGTTCGTGGTTAGAGTAAGCTGTGAGTGCACCACTGTACTCCAGCCTAGGAGACAGAACAAGACCCTGTCAGACAATCAATCAATCAATCAATACTTTTTAAAAGGCTGGAGAGAGAAGAGACCCTTCACCCCTTTTGCCATGTGAAGACACAGAAAGAAGGCACCATATATGAATAAGGAAGTGGGTCCTTACCAGACGCCAATCTACCGATGCATTGTTCATGGACTTCCCAGCCTCCAGAACTCAGAAATAAATTTCTTCCTCTTCCATTTAAAAGTCACCCAGTTTGTGGTACTCTGTTATAGTATCCTCAACAGATGAAGAAAGTGTCCAACCCTGATCAGGCTGAGCCACCCATAGTAATCCATCCCCTTCCCAATGACTGGTTTACCAAGGGACGCATGACACAATCCTACATGTGAGACTTTTTTTAAAATCTTTTTTATGACAGTCTCGCTCCGTCACCCAGGCTGGAGTGCAGCGGCATGATCTCGGCTCACTGCAACCTCTGCCTCCTGGGTTCAAGCAATTCTCGTGCTTTAGCCTCCCGAGTAACTGGGATTACAAGTGTTCACGATCACTCCCAGCTAATTTTTGTATTTTTAGTAGAGAAGGGGTTTCGTTATGTTGGCCAGGCTGGTCTGGAACTCCTGGCCTCAAGTGATCCACCCACCTCAGTCTCCCAAAGTGGTGGGGTTACAGGCATGAGCCATTGTACCTGGCCACAAGTGAGATTTAAGAGGACACCAGCTGTGAGGATCAGCTGTGAGGTAACCAGGAAAGATTTTGTCTCTGATAAAATGAAACTTCAGGGAGGGGCAGCCTCTTTCTCCTTCCATAGGACATTGACTCCATGTGCTGCCCGGAACTCTGGCGGCCACCTTGTAACCATGAGGAAAACTGAATGCAACAAGCCACCATGGCAGAAAACAAACCTGCTATTTGATGGCATTTCTGGGTCATCCTAAAAGTACCCTATCTCAAGATTTTTTATCAGTGAAATTAGAAATTTTCCTTTTCTTTTAAGCCATTTGAAGCTGAATTTTGTGATACCTGCAGCCAAAAGCATCCTAATACAATTTGCTACACAAGTTTGTAGAAGGCAGCCCTCCCCTCAGGCCTCCCCACTGTTGCCAGTTCATCTGTTAAATAGACAAGCTGGATTCCCAAGGGCCATGCACAGAGTCTCCTTGCTATTTTTCCTCAGCTCTATTCATGAAAATAAAATTAATTTTCTAGTCCATGAATTAAACATTGCTGCTGCCGGCTGAAAGATTTTAATAACAGCCTTTTGTTGACAAGAGAAGCAGGATCCCGACATGTTCTAAAATAAGCTACAAGGAGTCAGAAGGGTAGGAGGGGAAGCAAAGGGGAGGAGGCCATCAAAAGGAAAAACTGCAAAATCCCACTCAAGTCCAGCTTCTCTAAATGGTCAGCCTGTGGTTGAACTTGTGTGCAGATGAATCACCTGGAGATGTCGTTAAAATGCAGATAGTGATTCCGTGGGGTCGGTGAGGTCTGAGATTTGTTTTCTCTAACAAGCTCCCAGGTGATGCTGATGCTGGCGGTCTGAGGACCACACTTTGAGTAGCAAGGCCCTTAAGGCTCAGGCAACTGCAGCTGTAAGACTGTCTGCATGTTTGTTCTAAAGCTCTGGAATGTCTCCAGAGAGAAACCTGCAGCCTGCCAGGACCCACAGAGCCCTCCAACCTTTCTAGTAAGCAGCAGGCCCTGCAGTAGCCCCAACACCTGCAAAAATGGGCAGCGAGATATGAAGGAGGGCAGATCCATCTTCCCTGGAATGTGGGCTCGTGGGAATCAGCTGCTAAAGAAAGAATGAGGGGGAATGGGAACAACCCCCTCTCCACACATGTACCTTTTAGAAGCAGTGGAAAGAGTACAGGTCAAAGGAAGGAAGGGGAAGGAGGACAGGCTCTGGGTTTGGTCTGAGTTTGTGATAGCCTTAGGGGTTTTTTGTTGTTGTTGTTGTTAGTGTATTTGTTTGTTAGTAATTTTTCCCCCAGGACTGAGTCTGAGTCTGTGAAATCAAATGCCCAACTGAGACTTTATTCCAAGCCTCCCCTCAGCTCCATGCAGCCTGAGGCAGGCACTCAGCCCCACTTCAAGCCCACTAAAGAGTCAGGGACACTGGCACCCAATGAGATGTTTGTCCCAGTGTCTTTCCTGAATAACTTCACACATCCCACCGACAAGTGCTGGTCTAGAAATTGGGCTTGAGACTGTTCCTCCACACTAGAAATCATTGTTATGTGCGACGGGCTGAGAGGAGGAGGTGAGAGCCAGTGGGAAGGCTGCAGGGAGCCCTGGGCAGCCTCTCTTTCCACAAACCAGATGAGGTCTGCTAAATCTTTTCACCACTGAGCAGAGACCTCCAGCACGTCTCCCTCTCCACGTTATGTTCCTCTCTCTCCACTCTACTCACCAGCCACGCTGAACAATTGAGTTCTTGAGCTGCCCTGCCCTGTCTCTCTTTCTCAGGACCTTTGCTCAGGTTGTGATGCCAGCTCACCCAGCCTCTCCACGACCAGCCCTGCACCTCCTGCCATGCTCCACTTGGCTCCTACCTTTGGGGAGCCTCCCAATTCCCCCTAAGCTGGCACTGATTCTCGGTCCCATGGCACTTGAGAATGGATGGTGTCTTGAGGGGTGTCACCTGTGCACCTATTTCTCCAACTGGCCTGTAAGTGCAATGAAGTCAAGGATGGTGCCAGCGCTTGGCAGGTAATGAGTAAGTAATAAATATTGTTGAATAAGGAAACTGAATAATGGTTCTCAGCCCGCTGTGCATTAGAAACACCTGAATAGCATAAAATAAAGAAAAAAAAAAGCCAGGGCATCTCTTTTAGACATTCCAATTCATCAGGCCTAGGTAAAGAAAGGCCCAGGCTTCTGACAATTTTAATCACCACCCAAGTGATTCTGATGTGCCACCATTTCTGACAATCATTGGAACTTAAAAAATGATTCTTGGGCTGGGTGTGGTGGCTCATGCCTGTAATCCCAGCACTTTGGGAGGCCAAGGTGGGTGGATCATGAGGTCAGGAGACTGAGACCATCCTGGCCAACACGGTGAAACCCCATCTCTACTAAAAATAAAAAAATTAGCCGGGCGTGGTGGCATGCACCTGTAGTCCCAGCTACTCAGGAGGCTGAGGCAGGAGAATCGCTTGAACCCGGGAGATGGAGGTTGCAGTGACCCGAGATCGTGCCACTGCACTCCAGCCTAGGAGACAGAGCAAGACTCCATCTCAAAAAAAAAAAGATTAGTGGATGAATGAATATGTGCCTGCATGCACTACTGTGAGGATCTCTCTCATGGCCATTCACACATGTAATGAACAAACAATGGGCATTTGTGAGGGAAAACAGCTCACAACAGGTACCTGTTGTTGTGGCCACCAATCCATTGCCAGGGGAAATAAAATTGGAAAAAAAAAAAAACTGCCTTTACCCAGGACCAGGGCTTCCTGATAACCATGGGGCTTTCTTTATCCAGCGGGCTGGCTAGAGTGTCTCGCTCTCCAAAGGAGGAGCTGAACAGAGGGAATGAGCGAAGTGAAACACTAAGGAAACGTGTGGATGGAAAAGGAAGGCTAACATTTACTCTGTGCTGGCTTCCAGGCAAGCTCCTTACTGCATTCATTTGATTCCAGGTACAGCCTAATGCTGGTTGTACTCTTGTTACACCCAAGGTTGTGGCACTTCCAAAGAAACATGGGACAGAGGAATGGGTAGACTGTGTTCCAGAGACTACAGAATTTCAAAATAAATGTTCAATGAAAAAAAAATGCTACTCAAAGACACTTTTATAGATCCTTAAAACAACAACAACAACAACAACAAAACCATGGCTGTGTCACCCTTTTGCAAATCACTGACTTTTTCCAAGCAACTATTATAATTTTATGCCACACACAAAACTAGGTGAGGAAAACTAAAATATTATAGCAAGGTCATGACTAAATATTTGGATTTAAAAGCTGTGCCTGGCCGGGCACGCTGGCTGACACCTATAATCCCAGCACTTTGGGAGGCCGAGGAGGGCGGATCACCTGAGGTCGGGAGTTTGAGACCAGCCTGACCAACATGAAGAAACCCTGTCTCTACTAAAAATACAAAATTGGCCAGGCATGGCAGTGCATGCCTGTAATCCCAGCTACTGGGAAGGCTGAGGCAGGAGAATCGCTTGAACCCAGGAGGCAGAGGTTACAGTGAGCTGAGATCGCACCACTGCACTTGCACTCCAGCCTGGGTAACAAGAACAAAACTCCATCTAGAAAAAAAAAAAGCTGTGCCTTACATTTGAGTCACAAGTACTCCAAGTCGGAGACAGACCAGTAAGCCAGTGCAGGTTTCATGACCAGGCCCCTACCTTGGGAGGTAATAATAGTAGATAGCATTGAGTGTCTACTCTTTAGCAAGTCCTTTAGCATATGCCCTATCCAGGCACCGTGGCTCATGCCTGTAATCCCAGCACTTTGGGAGGCCAAGGCAGGAGGATCGCTGGATCCCAAGAGTTCAAGACCAGCCCTGGCAACATAGTGAGACCCCCATCTCTACAAAAAACCAACCAACAAACAAAAAACAGCTGGGTGCAGTGGCACACATCTCTAGCCCTGGCTACTTGGGAGGCTGAGGTGGGAGGATCACTTTGAACCCAGGAGGTTGAGGCTGCAGTGAGCCATGATGGCACTGCTGCACTCCAACCCAAGTGACAGAGCAAGATCTTGTCTCAAAGAAAATACATATGCCCAAATTCTCAAATAACTGTCTGCTCAAGATTATTGTATCCACTTTACAGATGAGGAAACTGAGGCTCACAAACTGTAAAGAAACGAGTCTGAAGTTGAACTAATTAGCAATGTCAGGATTCGCACTGGTTTCTACTCTGCAGCTCTCTTTCTCATTTCATGGTCACAGTGCCGTCTGCAGTGACCTTGATCAGTTTGTTTGTTTTAAAATTGAGTTAATAATGTTAACCTCAATCTATGTTCATACTTGTTGGGACTATTAGAGCCAGCAAAAGCACACTCTATTCTTTCGGGTCTAGCTGCAATCCAGGCTTGGGTAAGGCTCTTAATGCTTGCCCATTTGTTAAAAATGCAAGAGTTGTAACAACAATGGGCTTGGAATTACAACGTTTGAAAGGAAGAGTCATTCACTTTTCTTAGATTTTTAGTAGTTTAATTGAGCATTAAAGTTTTTTAAATGATGAGTCAAAGGAAGAGGGAGGGAGAAAAGTCAAAACTGAGACTCTAAGAGATTCAAAGAAATGATGTGGCCCTGTTTCTGTAGCAATTGTAACTGGCTGTGCTCAAAAATCCCAAAGAAAACGCTCAAGACCAGCTGAGTTGTCAGCTGAACAAAAAGATCCCAGCTACAAAACAATGATCTTTTGGAGGAAAACAGGAGGAAGATGGAATGAAAGAGAAGGGCATGAAGGAGGGAGGAAGCACAGAAGGGATTTGTGTTCATCTCTCTTTGGAACGTTGAGAAAGAGCCCTTATTTCCAAAGCCAAATCTATCTTTTCTATGCAAGAGAGGCTGTGAAGCCAAGTTCTGTGCCATCTTTGTGGAATTTATTGCGCTGCCGGAAGACTTTTTTTTCTTCTGCTAAAGAAAAGGGGCCAGTATTAGGACCAATAATAATGACAGTGAATAATTAACACCAACCAAGAGCCAGGCACTGTGCTCAGTGATTTACACATATCATCTAATTTGATTCTCACAACTTTAGGAACAAACAGTATTAATATATCCATTTTAAAGGTGAGAAAACTGCTTCAGAGATGTAAATTTGTCCAAGGCCATTCAGCTGGTAAGTAAGTAGAAGAGCAGGGATTCACATTCAGATCTGCCTGTCTACTGAGCCTTGCTTACTCTAGAAAACCTTGGGGCAAGACAGAAGTCCATGACCATGCATTCTTGGGGGTCCTCAACAACCTGAGGGACTTGATGGAAAAGAAGCACAACCCAATGAAGACATCAGGACCAGGTACAGACTACCCGATGCCCAACGGAAGACAGCTCATCTTTGGGCAAATTTCAGAATGTGACTGGTGGACCAGTGCCTTCCAAGCCCCAGCTTCTACTGACCATCCCATCACCCCACACTGCCTTGTTAATCTCCACCACTTCTCAGTTTCCTTGCCATATGCTGAATCCCACTCAGGATGGTACAGATGCTCCAAGAACCCAGCAGGGCACCAGAGAACGCTATATCTGCCTTAACAATGGTCACGTTTGCGCCAAGACAGGATAGAAGGATGGCTGATCTATCAAAGGAAACAGGGAAAATTACTGCTTTGCATGCCTGGTGCTGTCACTGAAGTTATCTCATGAGGAAAAGAGTCATGATGTCACTATGGGACACATTTAGGGGACTCGGATGACATTTAGGGAAAAAACAGAAAAGGCCTTGATGTTTCTGGGAGCCAACAGCCAGATGTCTGGAGGCCATCAGGGGAGGCTCCGCTGGGAAGCAGCCCCAGGACTCACACGTCCACACAGTAACTGCAAGGCCTCACTCCCTGCTCTACCCATCTTGGGATTCAGGGCATTGACTAACTGTCCCTTTGGCCAGAAACTCTCAAGCAGGCATTTTTGTGAGCTCAAGCCTTCAGATGCAGGTTTTTCCTCTAGTTGGAGTTTGCATTCTGTCCATTTTTTTTTTTTTTTTTGAGACGGAGTCTCACTCTGTCGCCTAGGCTGGAGTGCAGTGGCGCAATCTCGGCTCCCTGCAAGCTCCACCTCCCAGGTTCACGCCATTCTCCTGCCTCAGCCTCCCGAGTAGCTGGGACTACAGGTGCCCACCACCACGCCCGGCTAATTTTTGTATTTTTTTTAGTAGAGATGGGGTTTCACCGTGTTAGCGAGGATGGTCTCGATCTCCTGACCTTGTGATCAGCCCGCCTCGGCCTCCCAAACTGCTGGGATTATAGGCGTGAGCCACCATGCCCGGCCGCTTTCTGTCCTTGAAAGTCATGAACGCATTGCTGAGGACCTGGGGGCACCAAGAGCATTCTGTCCTGACAGCCTGCCCACTCATAAAACGAAAAGGATAAAAAGGGAAAACAACATGCTCTGGCCCCAAGGAGAACTAACAACTTGATGAACTAACAATTTGATGGCTCTTTCACGGATGACATTTTACCACCACACAAATTACTCTCTGCACACTGCACATCCAACACATCCCCTGCTGGGTGCACTGCATAGATGCCTCTTGTTTCCAGCACAACCTCATCTGGTGTGGAGGGTGGCAAGCAATGGACAGGCTAAGCCTATTTCCTCTACAAGTCAGGTCCTTGAAGTGCATGAGCAGCCCACTGGGGCATGAACTTGGCCCTAATGCTACACATAACCAGTAGGGAGGTGGTGAAAAAGGGCCTTCAGTGGGGGGAAATTTGTGGATCAAGGCACCAGGGCTTTCACTGAAAATAACCCTGAGTCAGTGGTCTGCCTCGTCCCTCTGCTTACTATGTAGCCTAGCCATCAGCACAGCTGATCTTAGCTGGTCTCTGATTGTCCCTCATTTCTTCCCTCAAAAGCTATTCATGAGACTGGGTACAGTGGCTCACGCCTGTAATCCCAGTACTTTGGGAGGACTGCTTGAGCCCAGGAATTCAAGACCGGCCTGGGCAACATGGTGAGACCCCCATCTCTACAAAAAAATGAAAAAGAAAATAGCCAGGTGTGGTGGTGCACACCTGTAGTCCCAGCTACTTGGGAGGCTGCGGTGGGAGCATTGCTTGAGCCCAGGAGACTGAGACTGCAGTGAGCTATGATCGTGCCACTGCACTCCAGCAAGACCCTGTCTCACAAAAAAAAAAAAAAAAAAAAAAAAAAGCAGCAGAGGCAGTAGCTATTCATCAGATAAGACCCATTGTTTGGACTGTTTCTAAGTCACAATTTTGGACCTTAAAACTCTAATATCTACCATTGTCTGCTATTTTTTTTTTTAGGGAGGCAATGAAGGTGGGGAGAGAATTAAGACTTACGGGCCGGGCGCAGTGGCTCACGCCTGTAATTCCAGCAGTTTAGGAGGCTGAGGTGGGTGGATCACGAGGTCAGGAGATTGAGACCATCCTGGCTAACACGGTGAAACCCCATCTCTACTAAAAATACAAAAAATTAGCCGGGCGTGGTGGCGGGCACCTGTAATCCCAACTACTTGGGAGGCTGAAGCAGGAGAATGGTGTGAACCCAGGAGGCGGAGCTTGCGGTGAGCCGAGATCGCACCACTGCACTCCAGCCTGGGCGACAGAGCGAGACTCTGTCTCAAAAAAAAAAAAAAGACTTAGGAAATAGCAGATGAAGCACAGGCAGAATTTATCCAGGAAGGTATGGAATGGGGTTTGGGACATGAGTCACAAAGGGGAAACCAGATTCCTTCAGTGTGTTAACTTCTCTAAGGAAGCTAGAGGACACTGGGGCCTGGGAGGTGTCCTCTAAGCCAAGATCTTTCAGAACAAAGGTTCTATCTTCACCACAGAGAGCGGTCCGGAAAGGGCAGAGGTGACCTGGCAAACTTGGAGAGAGGGGCCTTGTCCTTGTGGCTCCTGGTCCAGTGCCAGGGTCTTGGGGCTCAGAGGCTGTAAGAAGTGGAGCCAGTGAGCCCTAGGCATGTAAGATAATATTTTAAGTGCTCACTTTTCCCTGAGCACTCTCTGAACACCACAGCTATTAAAGATAAGCCTCAATCCCCTAGAGGTCACCAGGCTCTGAGGACCAAGCCCAGCCCTGCCTCTGGAAGCAGGGGGGAGAGAGGAGCTTGTTGGAGAACTCTGGGCAATAAGGGCTTTGGTTGGCAGTGTCGGAGTGTGTTGATGAAGCAACAGCTGAACATCATACAGTCTACAGTCAGTTGGAGAATTAAACCAACACATAAAGGTGATGGTGAAAAGGACACAGAAATGAGGAGGTGCACTGAGAGAAGGAAAGATGAAGCAGGAGATTTCCCAGAGCTTTGGGGAGACTTTAAAGGCTTTAGGGATCCCCAAAGATCCTACCTCTCTCACCATCCGTCAACTCTGCTATGCCCTCCCTGAGCCACACCCCCTAAGAGGTACCCACTTCTGGATGGGTTTACTTCCAAGAGCAGGGACTGCAGGATTTCAAGGGAAGGCTTGGAACCATAGTGGCCCCATTATCTACCTAGGCATTTGCAGCTGGCACCATGCCAAAAAAGCCCTGTAGAAAGAGGTCTTATTTTCTTCCTTCCTCTTCCCCTCTGGAAATAAAAGTAGGTTGTGTTTCTCCTGCCCGCCCCTAGAGATCAGGGAAACGGGAGCTGGAAGGGCATCTTGGATTACCTCGTCAAATTCTCACTCAGCATATCAATGCCTGTGCCTTTTGTCCTGGCTACTGCCGCTTCAGTAAAGGAGGCCAAAACCAGTTATTGCGGCCAGGGCGGCTGCGAAGTGGTTCAAAGATCAACGACTGGGGTCGTGTAGGGTGGGCACGCAGTCCCTGGGGCCCAGGGGAAGGGGAATGGTGGTCGGCGCCCGGGCTCCCTTCCCTACTGGCAGGAGTGGGGGTGCACGGAAGGAGGGTACCAGGAGAGCCACAGGTTCCCACTGGCCACATGGGAACAGGGTTTGGAGAAGGCTCTGCACAGCCACAGTCGGAGCTTCGTGCTAGGGTCAGACCGCTCTCGCCATGGGATCGGTTTGCTCACCGAGAAACTTCACCGAGAACTGCAAATGGGCATAGAAGATTGCGGAGGGGGCAGGGACAGGGGCCTTGGAGAGGCAAGAGGGGAACCGGTATCTTCCATCTGGTGCGCGTAAACCAAGACTCTATCCTGTGCCGGGTCTCTCCTCCCCGGTCCAACTCCCTTACTTGTCCTCATCTCTGTCCCCAAGGTCCGTGACCCGCGGAGGTGATGGGGGGGATAGGAGAGCCCCAGGGACCGCAGAGGTGACACAATCGCCCGCCCGTCCTCCCTCGCTGGGAGCCGATTCAGCCTGTGCCGAGCCTCTCCCTTCGCGCGCCTCTGCGCACAGCGGTGGCACCGCAGGACTCCGGGTCCCCCCCGGCTCTCCATCGGGAAGCCGGCAAATGCGCTTCCTCAGGCAGACCGCGGCGGGGTGGGGGCGGGGGGGGGGCGGAAGTTGAAATACTGGGACAGAAACACCTGCCCGTCCCAAGGGACGGAAAACTGGATGCCAAGGGGGCCGCGGCGCGCAGCGGGAGGCGAGGGGAGACCGGGGGTCGCTGCGCACCGCCCGCAGCCGAGGGGCGAGCGGCGACCTCGCGCGCCCCAGCGCGGCCTGGCCACGGAGGCCGGGGCGCAGGGGGCGCCGGCGGGACTTACCCCAGAGCAGAGTGAGTGGCTTGGCTTTGGGGATGAGCACCAGGGAGTACACGGCCCCCAAGTGGAGCAAGCTCATCAGGACGACATTCCTCCAGACGATGTTCTGCCGCTGCCCGCGCGCGCCTGGCCTCTCCGGGCCGCCGCCGCCCTCAGAGCTTTCGAGCCCGGCACGGATTTCTTCCTTGGCGTCGCAGAAAGGGATCTTCCCCGCGTCGGTGGCCGGGCCTGGCATGGCTGGGCGAGGTGGGCGCCCGCAGCAGCGGCAGGCAGGCAGGCGCTCTGCCCGAGCGGAGCTCGAGGGTGGGGGCGGGGGCTTCTGCCTTTTAGGGGGGAATTCTCCGCACGTCCAGTCCCCTCCTTCCAGCCCTTCTCCCGGGCTCCTGCGCTCTTCCCCAGGGTCTTAGCGTGGCCTAGGGATGCAGATCTTGGCGGCCGGCGTCTGTTGCTGGCGTATCCCCCATATGGCTGCCCGGGCTGAACTCGGCCGCGAGAAAGAGGAGGCGCGCGCGGGGCGGGAGGGGCGCGCGGCCGGGGAGGAGGAGCTGTGAAAATGGAACGGGGCCGGCGACGCTGGAGGGAGCGCTCCGAAGGAGCGCGGAAGAAAGCCCTGCTTAGCTACAGCCAATCAGGAGCGCCCGTGCGGCGCTTATAGACAAAGGCGCCCCCCTTTCGGCTTTTCGGGGCCGAACTGGGGAGCCCGCTGGGCGGGAGTTGGCCGCCTCCGCCCGGGGGCGGGTGGAAGGTGGCTCCCGGGGCAGGGAGCCTGCAGGGCGGCTCACAGCGCTTCTGCTCTTGTGTGTGTGTGACCCCCAAAATGCCTTTTATGGTATTTTTCCAGTCCCCCCCCCAAAAAAAAACTTCCCGAAACTGTCATCCCTTTGAGAAGCCTTTTATTTCTTCTCAAGCCTCAGGCCACCTGGGTTGGAGAATTTTAAATACTTGCTTGGAGTCGCGACCCTAGTTAAGGCCAGACCCACGATGAGAATCAGAAGTCCCTCAATCTGCCAGTTAGTAGGGCTCCTCGGGCCAGGGGAGGGTTGGAAGGCAGCTGCTCGTTCTTAATTAGGCAGCTGTGGATTACCCAGGCACACAGTAAGTGCTCAGTTGGTGCTTGTGAGGTGATGCACAGATGATTTGGGCCAGTTCGCTGCCCACCCTTTGCCCATCCGCCGCGCCACTCTGTTTATGGTCAATTCTAGCTAATCAGCGCACTTCTGCAACGCCTCCTTAGCTCTCAGTGAGGAACACTACCCTGAAATCAACACCATTGAGAATCGGGCTTTACAAAAAAATCACCCAGAATGTTCCAAGGAAAATTAACCTGTGAAAGATTTGTGTCTGCCCACTTCTCTCCTAGAGCTGATGGCTTAAGAGCTCTCCAGAGAGGACCCTAGTTGCACAGAAAATGGAGGGAGGATTGAGCTGGAAGTGTCTGAAGCAGGTGTGACCGCAATTGCGGGCAGGCAGCAGAAGTAAAAGGGCTCGGGACAGCATCTCTGAGTTCTAGTTTTAACTGGCTGGAACCCAGCCCAACTCTCTGGGCACGGATTTCCTTACCTGAGAAGCAGAACTAGTTTCTACTCTTCCTTCCAGCTTCCATATTCCATGAATGTGAGTTCGAAGGGGCGCCATTATATTGACCAAAACCAGCTGATTTTTAGATTAACCGTTGTTAGGAATCATTTCCAGGATTTCAAGAGAGGCAAAAAAATTTAAAAGACTGACTGCATGAAAGGGCCATGCATAAGCATCTTATTGTTAGCAGACCTGAGCCAGTCCTAGCAGCCAGACAAAACAATGCCTGATTTAAGCTAAAGCAAGGTATGTGGCACTTGTGGAATCTAGGCCACTGAGTCAGTGTTACTGTGTTGCTTCAGACGGAGCTGAAATTATAGAATTTGCCTGGAGACCAGATAAATGTCGGCCCTATATAATGACCAGTCAGACAGTGGAACATGAAGCTGGAGGGTGCGATTTTCATCTGTCTGTTCAACCTGGGCTATGTAATGAACCACGTTTTCTTCTCATGCTCCCTCTGCTCCCCATACCCAGCAGACCTTCCTACTCCCTGTGGCTCTCTAGTTCAGACTGTCCTTTCTCTCTGGGGTAGACTAGTTGCTCGGCCAAAAGCCTCTCTCCGGGTTATTGGAAAGGCTCAATGCTGTAAAGACCCTCATTCTAAACATTCAGTCATTTATTTGGCATTTATTGGGCATCTGCTATGTGCCAGGACCAGTGGGCACAGGGGATCCAAGGATGAATAAAGTCTGGTCCCGCCCCTAAAGGAGCTCCCATCTAGAAGCAAAGATGGAGCAAACAAATGTAACCTCTTGACTATGACCTTGGAAGGGCAGAAAGTTACAGTCCATTATCGGAAAAAAAAATTTAATTAGGTATCAAACTTACATACAAGGAGTCTAAGGGAAGCAAAAATAGTTCCTTATTGTCCCCCCTGAGAACCTTATTAGGTCAGCTGTTCTATCTTGAATCCATCTTTTGTTTGTTTGTTTGTTTTTGTTTTTGAGACGGAGTCTCGCTCTGTTGCCCAGGCTGGTGTGCAGAGGCCTGATCTCGGCTCACTGCAAGATCTGCCTCCCGGGTTCACGCCATTCTCCTGCCTCAGCCTCCCGAGTAGCTGGGACTACAGGTGCCCGCCACCACGCCCGGCTATTTTTTTTTTTTTTTTTTTTTTTGTATTTTTAGTAGAGACGGGGGTTTCACTGCGTTAGCCAGGATGGTCTCGATCTCCTGACCTTGTGATCCGCCAGCCTTGGCCTCCCAAAGTGGTGGGATTGCAGGCGTGAGCCACTGTGCCCGGCCCTTGAATCCATCTTGAATGAACATCTTTCTCTTTTCCCTCCTGTGGGTCAGACCAGGTATGACCAGTCATTTCAGCTGGCTGTCCTCATAATGGAGAAGATGTTTTTGTGTGTTGAGGGAGGAAAGAAGTGTTACTTAGGTTTGTCAGAGCCTGCCTATAAAAGGATTGTTGAAGAAAAATGGTCCTTCCAGGTCCAGCCTCAGAGTGAAACATCTACAAGATCCAAGATATATTCTTGCTGATAACGACGGTCCTCTTTAGCCAATTATGCCATAGGGGTCACTGCCTCTTTTCTCTGTCTTGCCAAAGACCCTAGTATATTTTCCTAGCTTCTAGTCAGGACCCCAGGAGTGGATAAGTATTCACCTGTCCCAGGATGGGGCAAATGGGACAGTAACCCTTATCCTGTCAAACACGTAATTACCAAAAATGTAATAAGAGCCATAATGGTGGTATACGCAAGATAATGTAGAGGTGCAAAGGAGGGAGTTGTTAATTCACACAGAAGCAGGGAGGAGGGGGAGTGATACCTGGGGAAGGATTTTTAAAAAATATTTAATTGTGGTAAAATACATGTAACATAAAATGTATGTAACAAAATTTACCACTGTAACCGTTTTTAAATGTACAGTTCAGTAGTGTTAACTATATATGCACATTACTGTGCAACCGATCTGCAGAACTTTATCATTTTGCAAAACTGAAACTTTATGCTCATTAAACTCCCCTTTCAATCTCCATCCAGATGCTGGCAACCACTGTGCTACTTTGTTTCAATTAGTTTGACTACTCTAGATACATCATATAAGTGAAATAATAGAGGATTTGTCTTTCTGTGACTGGCTTATTTCACTTAGAATGTTTTCAAAGCTCATCCAGGTTGTATGTGTTAGAATTCCCTTCCTTTTAAGACTGAATAATATTCTATTGTATGGATATGAATTTTGTTTATCCATTCATCTATCTAACAGTGGACATTTGGGTTGCGCCACCTTTTGGCTACTGGAAATAATGTTGCTGGGAACATGGGTGTACAAAGATCTCTTCAGGACCTGCTTTCAATTCTTTTCGGTATATATATGTATATCCAGAAGTGGTATTGCTGGATCTTATGGTAATTCTATGTTTAATTTTTTGAGGAACTGTCATACTGTTTTCCATAGTGGCTGCACCATTTCATATTTCCAACAACAGTGCCCAGCGGTTCCAATTTCTCCAAATCCCCACTGATACTTTTTCTGTTTTTTAGATAATAGCCATCCTAGTGGGTAAGGAGTGATATCTCATGGTAGTTTTTATTGCCCTCCCTTAATAATTAGTGATATTGAGCATCTTTTCAAGTGCTTGTTGGTCATTTGTATACCCTCTTTGGAGAAAGATCTATTCAAGTCCTCTATTTTTAAATAAGGTTTTTGTTGTTGTGGTTGTTGAGTTGTAGGAGTTCTTTACATATTCTGAATATTAACCTATCAGATATATGACTTGCAAATATTTTCTTCCATTCTGTAGGTTTCCTTTTTCACTCTGTTGATTGTGTTCTTTGATGCACTGACATTTTAAATTTTGATGTAGTCCAGTTTATCTATTTTTACTTATATTGTCTGTGCTTGTGCTTTTGGTGTCGTATCCAATAAATCATTGCCAAATCCAGTGTCATGAAGCTTTTCCTCTATATTTTCTTTTAAGAGTTTTATAGTTTTAGCTATAAAACTTACATTTAGGTCTTTAATATACTTCGAGTTAATTTTTGTGTATTGTAGAAGATAAATGCCCAGTTTCATTCTTTTATGTGTAGATATCCAGTCTTCCTAGCACCATTTGTTGAAGAAACTATCCTTTCCCCATTGAATGGTCTTGGCTCCCCTGTTGAAGATCAGTTGACCGTATATATGAGAGTTTTTTTTTTTTTTTCGGCTATTTCACTCCATTGGTCTGTATGTCTGTCTTTATGCCAGTACCACATTGTTTGAATTATTGTAGCTTTGAAATCAGGAAGTTTTGAAATCAGGAAGTTTGAGACCTCCAACTTTGTTCTCTTTTTTTTTTTTTTTTTTTCAAGATTGTTTTGGCTATTCAGGGCTTACTGAGATTCCATACCAGTTTTAGGATCTTTTTAGGTCTGCCAAAAATGATATTGAGATTTTGATAGGGATTGCAGTAAACCTGTATATAACTTTAATTAGTATTTTCATGTTAATGATATTAAGTCTTCCAATCCATGAACATGGCATGTCTTTTCACTTATTTATGTCTTCCTTAATTTCTCAGCAGCATTTTGTAGTTTTCAGTGTACAGTTATTTTGCCTCATTGGTTAAGTTTACTGGGTAAGGATTTTGAAAGATTGTTGTTTAATTAAAATATATCATGAGCCTCAAATTCAAGCCACATGTGTAATTGTAATGTAGCCACATTAAAAAGGTAGAAACAGAAAAAAACTTTAATAATATATTTTATTTAACTCAATGTATCCAAAATATTATCTTTTCAATGTAAAATCAGTATAAAATTATTGATACATTTTATACTTTTTTCATACTATGTCTCAAAATTCCATGTTTCCACTTAACAACACGACACACCTTAATTCAGATTAACGACAAGTGCTTGTAGCCACATATGGCTAATGGCTGTCATGTAAGACAGCACTGTTGAAGTATGAATAGTTCAAAGAAATGGTAGGGGATATTCCAGGCAGAGAAAAGTGCGTAAGTAAAGTTTTTGCACTTGGCATTCAGGGAGGTATATGGAATATCTGAAGTGAAAGTAGGGAAGCGTAGGAGATGAAGCTGAAATGCCATGCAGTGGGCAGCAGATGAGGGTACGTGGGTGTCTTGAGTGCCGTGCAGACAGAGCTATGAGGTAGGTGAGGGGAGCCACAGAAAGACTTTATGTAGCACAGTACTGGGATCAAGTTTGCACTGCAGAAAGACCACTCTGGAAGAGAGTGGGGAATGATTGTATTGGGGGTGCAGAGAGCTAAGATTGAAGGTGTGAAGATCAGTTAGGACACTATTTTAAGAATCTGTTGA
Organism: Homo sapiens; assembly: GCF_000001405.40. Classification (NCBI taxonomy): domain Eukaryota; kingdom Metazoa; phylum Chordata; class Mammalia; order Primates; family Hominidae; genus Homo; species Homo sapiens. The sequence continues at coordinate 82,804,157 of NC_000004.12, forward strand.
GCAATGATGAGGGCCTGAATTAAGGCAAGGGCACAGATTCTGGAGAACAATAAATAGAGAAGATGGAATCAAGCCAGAGAAACTCAAATGGAAGAGTCAAAGAGATTTGATGCTGGATTAAACATAAAGAAGGAGGAAGAAAAATCTAGATTCTTTTTGGGTCTCTGAACTGGGTATTCAGGTGAAGGACAATGTCACTCACTGAAATACTAAGTTTGTGTTTATTTCCTCTCTTGTAAAGTGAGAATAATACCTACCTTATAGTATTCCTGTGACAACTAAAGTCAATATCCATAAAGTGATTAGAACAGTGCCTGGCACATAGTAAGGAATTAGTAAATATTATCACCATAATCATAATCATTTTTGAGATAGGAACTGAAGAAATAAATTAAAGAAGAAAATGAATTCCTGTTTTAGACATTCAAGTGAAACTTTGGGTGGATTTTTGAATATATAGGTGCCTGGAGCTTGGCAAAAAGTCTAGGCTGAAAATAACAATTTAGTCATGGTTCAATATAGTAAAATCCATGTCAGTAGAAACAGTTGGCCAGGAAAGGTAAGAAGAGAAAAGGGCTCAGGATAGAATCCTAGTGAAACACTATTTATGAACACAGCAAAGAAAAAGAAGCCAGTGGTGTGAACTGAGAAGGGAAAATGAGAGAAGTGGAAGAATCAGCAGAGTGTGGGAGAGCAGGATTCGCAATGTCGAAAATGTTATGGAAAGGCCAGGAAAGAAGGGAAATGAAGAGCACACTGTATACAAAGGTCATGGCTGACATTTGCTGAGGACTTTTCAACGAGTGATGGGAACAGACCTTGCACAGAGGTGACTTTAAGAACAAGAGGGAGGAGACAAGCATGGAACGCATATGTAAGTTAATTTTCCTAGATGCTTGGCAGTAAAGAGGAGAGGGATAGAGAAGCAAAGTTGAGTGTGTGCTTTCTAGGGCTGGATGGGATCAGGTGAGCAGATGGTTGGGCTAACTTAGAGCAGAGGGACAGCTTTTCATTGGAGACTGGAAGGAAATGAGGATGAAGGGAGCTTACAGAGTGGGCCAATAAAGTAAGGGAGGGTGCCATGATGGCCTGTTTGCTCTGAAGGGAAGATCAGGTGTCTGCTGGACAAGCAGAGTGGGAATTTGGTAAAGAGTTGGGAAAAAGTGATGAAGGCCTCCAAAAGCTGTTGAGAAAAATGAGAGAGGAAGCTGATCAAGAACATTTAAAAGGTTGCCTGGCCTAATTAAGGGCCCAACTAAGAATGGTTGCCACAAGCTTAAACTGGCTTAGTCTGCACAGTTGTGGTTACACAGCATCCCTCAGCAGTCTGATGGAATATCCATATTGAAGTTGTAGGGTGGGTTTGATGGGAGGACAAAGGATCCAGGTACTTGAGGAAATATGACTAGAAGGAAGCTAAGATGTTATAGACAGTGGAGGAATCAAGGGAACCAAGGTTTTGAAGAAATTGAAGAGAAAATCTGTTTATTAGGGAATGAAAATAAATGAAGTAATGGCCATTATGCCCCAAGAGTGGGATCTGGGACTTGAGACCTATGGTTGTGAAAGAGTTTCCAACGATAAGCTCCAAGGTGAGGCCACAGGATTATAGTGGAGGGTTGGCAGTTCCTGGAAATGAGGAAGATGAAGTATTATGGACAGGACCTCCAAAGGGGGTTGAAATCACAGGCTGCATCCAGATTTAGCTGGAGAAGATTGTGAGCTGGGTGCCCAAGGGGACTTCCTAAAGAAAGACAAGTAACAGCTTTCAAATGTCAATGAACAGTTAGAAGATTCTAAATACAAAACTAGCAGCTCTGAGATGTATGAGGACAAGACCATCACAGCCAGAATTCCTGGATTCTGGCCAGCAGTGCATACCTTGGAGTAGAAGTTGCTTCTGGTAGAGAGGATAGAAAGAAGACAGAAAGTATTATATGTTAATGCTACCTACAAAAACTGTGTGTGAGAGAGAAACATGATGAGGCATGTGGTCTGGTATGATCAGGAGGGCTTCGTGGAGGAGGTGGCAGCAAACAAGGCCCTGGAAGATAGGTGACTTTGCAGAGACTCCCACTTGGATAATAGCCTAAGAATAGGCTTAGATATGGGGGTGAGCCTAGCAAAACACCTAGCACTTAGATAAGGTTGTATTTTGGCCAGGCACAGTGGCTCACACCTGTAATCCCAGCACTTTGGAAGGCCAAGGTGGGTGGATCACTTGAGCCCAAGACTTTTAGATTAGCCCGGGCAACATGGCAAAATCCTGTCTCTACAAGAAATACAAAAAATTAGCTGGGTGTGGTGGCATGCACCTGTAATCCCAGCTACTTGGGAGGCTGAGGTGGGAGGATCACCTGAGCCTGGGAGGTCAAGGCTGCAGTGAGTCATGATTGTACCACTGCACTCCAGCCTGGGTGATAGAGCAAGAACCTGTGGAGAAAATGCAGGCTTTAGGGAGGGAGGAAAGAGCAAGAAAAGATCCATTCTTGAAGTTAAAAATTTACAATGATTCTCAGATCTATGCATTTCTCAAAAAAATGCAGATTTTGTCTACAGGACAAAATCACAATCTTGTGAAAATGACCTAGGTTTGGCAGTCTAAAACCTGGGTTTGCAGGTACATGGATTGGAAGAATCAATACTGTTAAAATGTCCATACTGGCCGGGCGCGGTGGCTCATGCCTGTAATCCCAGCACTTTGGGAGGCCGAGGCAGGTGGATCACGAGGTCAGGAGATTGAGACCATCCTGGCTAACACGGTGAAACCCCGTCTCTACTAAAAATACAAAAAATTAGCCAGGCGGGGTGGCAGGCGCCTGTAGTTCCAGCTACTCAGGAGGCTGAGGCAGGAGAATGGCTCAGGAACCCGGGAGGCGGAGCTTGCAGTGAGCCGAGATTGCGCCACTGCACTCCAGCCTGGGCGACAGAGCGAGACTCCGTCTCAAAAAAAAAAAAAAAAAAAAAAAAGTCCATACTACCCAAAGCAATCTACAGGTTCAATGCAATCCTCATCAAAATACCAATGACATTCTTCACAGAAATAGAAAAGACAGTCCTAAAAATGTACATGAAACCACAAAAGGCACAGAAAAGCCAAAGCTATCCTGAGCAAAAAGAATAAAACTGGAGGAATCACATTACTTGATTTACAGAGCCATAGTAACCAACACAGCATGACACTGGCATAAAAACAGACACATAGTCCAATGGAACAGAATAGAGAACCCAGAAACAAATCTATATATCTACAGTGAACTCATTTTCGACAAAGGTGCCAAAGGCATACATTAGAAAAAGGACAGTCTCTTCAGTAAATGGTGCTGGGAAAACTGGATATCCATATGCAGAAGAACAAAACTAGACCCCTATCTCTCACTATATAAAAAATCAAAATGGATTACAGACTTAAATCTAAGACTTTAGACTATCAAAGTACTACAAGAAAACATTGGGAGAAACTCTGCAGGACATTGGACTGGACAAAGACTTCTTTTTTTTTTTTTTTTTTTTGAGATGGAGTTTCACTCTTGTCACCCAGGCTGGAGTGCAATGGCACAATCTTGGCTTACTGTAACCTCTGCATCCTGGGTTCAAGCGATTCTCCTGCCTCAGCCTCCTGACTAGCTGGGATTACAGGTGTGCTCCACCACACCTGACTAATTTTGTATTTTTAGTAGGGTCCAGGGTTTCACCATGTTGACCAGGCTGGTCTCAAACTCCTGACCTCAGGTGATCTGCCCACCTTGGCCTCCCAAAGTGCTGGGATTACAGGCGTGAGCCACTGTACCCAGCCAGATTTCTTGAGTAATATCCCACAAGCACAGGCAACCAAAGCAAAAGTGGACAAATGGGATCACATCAAGTTAAAAAGCTTCTGCACAGCATAGGAAACAGCCAATAAAGTGAATATGGAACCCACAGAATGGGAGAAAATATTTGCAAACTACCCATCTGGCAAGTGATTAATAACCAAAATATATAAGAAGCTCAAACTCCACAGGAAAAAAATACTGATTTTAAAATGGGCAAAAGATCTGAACAGACATTTCTCAAAAGAAGACAAACAAATGACCAACAGGTATATGATACAATGCTGAACATTATCATCAGAGAAATGCAAATCAAACCTACAATGACATATTATTTCACCTCGGTTAAAATGGCTTTTATCCAAAAGACAGACAATAACAAATACTGGTAAGGATATGGAGAAAAGAGAACCCTCATACACTGTTGGTGGAAATGGAAATTATTAATAATATCATTGAGGACTCTGAGTAAAAGGTATAATTTCTCTATGATTTCTTATAACTGTATATGAATAAATAATTACTTCAAAATTAATAGTTTAATTAAAAATGTGAAGTGGTTGAAGCATTGCATTCAAGGTTTATTCACCCATTCATTCATAGAATATTCCAGAAATATTTATTGTATATATGTTTATAAGTATGCTTATATAATATAAATATATAAAATATAAAATATAAATATATTTATATGACCCAGCAATCTCACTGCTAGGTACATACCCAAAAGAAAGGAAATCAGTACATGGAAGAGGTATCTGTACTCCCATGTTTATTGCAGCACAATTTAGAAGCAACCTAAGTGTCCATCAACAGATGAATGGATAAAGAAAATGTGGTACATACACTCAATGGAGTACTAGTCAGCCATAAAAAAGAATGGGATCCTGTCCTTTGCAACAACATGAATGGAACTTGAGGTCATTATGTTAAATGAAATAAGCCAGGCACAGAAAGGCAACCTTTACATGTTGTCATGTATTTGTGGGAGCTAAAAATTAAAATGACTGAACTCATGGAGATAGAAAGTAGGACAATGGCTACCAGGGAAGGGAAGCATAGTTGGGAAAGATAGTGTGGCAGGGGAGAAAGGGGGATGGTTAATGGGTACAAAAATATAGTTAGATAGAATGAATAAAATATAGTATTTGGCCGGGCGCAGTGGCTCATGCCTGTAATCCCAGCACTTTGGGAGGCCAAGGCGGGTGGATCACCAGGTCAGGAGTTCAAGACCAGCCTGGCCAAGATGGTGAAACCCCATCTCTACTAAAAATACAAAAAAATTAGCCAGGCATGGAGGCGAGCAACTGTAATCCCAGCTACTCGGGAGGCTGAGGCAGAGAATTGCTTGAACCCAGGAGGCGGAGGTTGCAGTGAGCCAAGATCACACCACTACACTCCAGCCTGGCTGACAGAGCGAGACTCCGTCTCAAAAAAAAAAAAAAAAAAAAAATATATATATATATATATGTATAGTATTTGATTGCACAGCAAGGTGACTACAGTCAATAATAATTTATTGTACATTTAAAAATAACTAAAGGAGTATAACTGGATTGTTTGTAACACAAAGAACGATAAATGCTTGAGGTAATGGACACCCCATTTACCCCAATGTGATTATTATGCATTGCATGCCTGTATCAGAATATCTCATGTACCCCATAAACATGTATACCCACTATGTACCCACAAAAATTAAAAATTAACAATAAAAAAAAGACCTGGGTTGAAGTCTGGCCCTCCCACTCTGAATTGGCACATCCAAGTACTGTGTGATTTGGGGACAATGAGTCTCTTTCAGATCTTCAGTTTCATCCTATATATTATGGGAATTAAGACAGATCTATGCTGGTAATCCTCTCCAGGCAAAGTGCCAAATAATCTCAACATCAGTATTTTATGTGCAAAATGGAGATAATACCACACATTTCACAGGAATAGAACTTTGTAGAGTTTGGTACCTAAATTAGTGTGAACCACTTATTTTATTACTATTTTTTTAATCATTCTAGACAGATGGACTGAATGCAGTTGTAATAACCTGCCTGGCCAGAAAGCCAGGATGCTCCTGGGGGTCCCAGACTGTGAAGAGAGGCATAACTGGGTAGGCTACAGGGATTCAGACCTTGAAGGAATGAATTCTAGCAGGGCCAGGATTGGCGTGCTTTGAAGGGAACTGTGAAAAAAAATCATCTGCTTTGGTTTTTCAGAGGTAATCATTAAAGGCAACTCCTTTGGCACAAAAAAGGAATCAGCTCTGCGGCTCTTATGAATTTAAAGGCGAAGGAGGTTGCCTCTTGGCTAAGGGACATGAAGAACAGCTTCAAGTTTAAACAATCTTTGTGCTCACAGTGTGAGATAATCACTCACAGGCTTTACATTAGAATGATTCCAGTGAAGCATAATGTTGGAAAGTTAGCCTTCAAGGTTACAGGAAGATGGGTTTTGAGATACAGCAACACCACGGCTTAGAAGAAAATCAGTCCTCTCTGCTTCCTCCAGTCCCAGGAGGGTTGGTGTCTCTCTTTCTGTACTAAATAGATTGGAAAAATTCCGCACTGAGAATTTATATAGCAGTGGATGATGGGAGACCTGGTCCTCTAAAATGAATGCTTCTATTGCTTTAGATGAGAAAAAGAGTGAAGGGTTTTCCTTTAACAAAGACCCTTATTGCTTAAGACCCTTCCAACATTTCCTGATGACTTTTTTTTTTTTTTTTTTTTTTTTGAGACAGAGTCTCACTCTGTCACCAGGCTGGAGTGCAGTGGTGCGATCTCGGCTCACTGCAACCTCCGCCTCCTGGGTTCAAGCGATTCTCCTGCCTCAGCCTCCCCAGTAGCTGGGACTGCAGGCGTGCGCCAGTACGCCCAGCTAATTTTTTTTTGAGACAGTTTCGCTCTTGTTGCCCAGGTTGGAGTGCAATGGCGTGATCTCGGCTCACCGCAACCTCTGCCTCCCAGTTTCAAGCGATTCTCCTGCCTCAGCTTCCCGAGTAGCTGGGATTACAGGCATGTGCCACCACACCCGGCTAATTTTGTATTTTTAGTAGAGTCGGGGTTTCTCCATGTTGGTTAGGCTGGTCTTGAACTCGTGACCTCAGGTGATCTACTGGCCTCAGCCTCCCAAAGTGTTGGGATTACAGGCGTGAGCCACCATGACTGCTGCAATTTGGCAGTAGGGAATTGGGCTCTGGAGATGACCAGATTTGAAGGCTATTCGTTCCTGATTCATAAGATAGTTAAGAAGGTCTACTTTATGAAAAACCCATTGACATACTGAAACCTACCCAAACCTGTCACTTTGGTCAGCAATATGCTGCCCCTTGCATCTCTCCAAACAATCTTGAGTTTCAATCTATTAACATTCTTTCATTCAATATGTATTTATCGAGCCTATTCTAGAAGTTAAGCACTGAGCCCAGCTCCATAGACAGAGGAGTTTATGGCTTTATGCTCAGGGAATTCACAGTTCAGTAGGGGAGGCAGACATTAATCAAATAATCACTAAAAGAATTATATACCACAAATTCTAATAAATGCTCTGGAAGTCACTAATCATGCTTTTTTAAGACCCAGCCATGACATGTCAACATTTGTTAATACCCATACCACATCCACCTTTGACCAGGCTGAAGTGCAGTGGTGCAATCACAGCTCACTGTAGCCTCAACCTCCTGAGCTCAAGCAATCCTCCCACCTCAGCATCCTAAGTAGCTGGGACTATAGGCATGTGTTACCACACCTGGCTAATTAAAATATATATATATATATATATATTTTTTTTTTTTTTTTTTTTTTGTAGAGACGGGGGTCTCACTATGTTGTACAAGCTGGTCTTGAACTCCTGGGCTCAAGTGATCCTTCTGCCTAGGCCTCCCAAAGTGTTGGGATTACAGGCATGAGTCACTGCAACTGTCTAGAAATGAGGTCTATAAACCTAACCAAACTCCTCTCCGCTCTAACCAAACTCCTCTCCGCTCTCCCTGCTCCCAAATCTCAGCTCTCTGAAATAAACATTTCCTATTATTATGACAGAAGACAGCATTAATAAAGTTTTCACCCACAAACTCTTCCAGCTCTCCAGTTCCCCTCCCTCCACAACACCCACCCGTTTTCTTTTAGGATAGTTATTTTGGTTTCCAAGGGCAGATAAATGCAGAGACGTTCTTATTTATTTCTCAGCATTAGCTGCTGTTATTGTTTCCGTTTCAACGACCTCTTTCTCTTCCTGCTGTGTCAATTACCACAGCCTGCTCTAAAAAGGCAAAGGCCCCTGCTGTTCTCTAGCAGGGAGGGGGAATTTGTAAATAGAGTTCAGGAATGTCAAAAGGGTGACCCAGATTTGTAGCACCAGAAGAAAAACTGGTTCATTTTGAGTATCCTAAGCCATCACTCAAATGTAGCCTAAGCTTGATGTGGGAAACAGGTTTGCAGAAAGGTTAATTTCATGAAAATATATATCCTTAATGAGGAGGACTCACTACTTGAGGACTTCAAGGCCAAGCAAATGTTTATCCCAAGTCCTCAAATTACAAACTCTCTCTTTAATGCTTGCCCATTAATTTCCAACCAGGGGAAGTGCAGAATTGATTTTGCTCCAGAATGGAAATCAAATTAACTCTACAAGGGGAAAAACGTTATCGAAATAGAAACAGGCCTCAGTTGTTTCTGCCTTTTTTTTTTTTTTTTTTTTTTTTTGAGACGGAGTCTCACTCTGTTGCCCAGGCTGGAATACAGTAGTGTGATCTCAGCTCACTGCAACCTCTGCCTCCCAGGTTTAAGTAATTCTCCTGCCTAAGCCTCCCAAGTGGCTGGGACTACAGGTCTGTGTCACGACACGCAGCTAACTTTTTATATTTTTAGTAGAGATGGGGTTTCACCATATTGGCCAGGCTGGTCTTGAACTCCTGGCCTTGTGATCCGCCCACCTCGGCCTCCCAAAGTACTGGGATTACAGGCGTGAGCCACCCCGCCCGGCCTTGTTTCTGTCCTCTTTCTTAAAAGCTTTGGTACTTACCAAAATTTTTATCCCTCCTGAAGACTTGTAGGTAACAGACAAAGACATTGTGGAAAAGGCGGATGTATCACAGACTTTCAGAGCTGCAAGTGAAGTTAGAAATCTAGTCCTATTCCCTCATTTTACAGTTGGGGAAACAGAGGCAGAAGGTGGTGACATGATTTGGCTAACAGTATGTGGCAGAGAAGGCACTAGAACCCAGTTCCTTGACTCCCAGGTGTCATGAAGACACTACTTCCAGCAGTCGGGATAAAGTGAGCTCCCTAATAGCTTTTTACTACTACCACCCAAGGCTTCCCTCCAGTCTAGAACGCTGGTTCTGTAACTCTTCCCTGGTGTGATCTACAAGAAGTATGCCGTTGTTCTGGCCATTTTCTCCCTCTTTTTCTCTACACTGCACCCTTTGCTTTGGGGAATCACTCTATGTGGTCTTGGTAGGGTTTGAAATCACTGGGCTCGGCTGAGTGTGGTGGCTCATGCCTGTAATCCTAGCACTTTGGGAGGCCGAGGCGGGTGGATTGCCTGAGCTCAGGAGTTTGAGACCAGTCTGGGCAACAGGGTGAAACCCCATCTCTACTAAAATAGAAAAGAAACTAGCCGGGCATGGCGGTGTGGGCCTGTAGTCCCAGCTACTCGGGAGGCTGAGGCAGAAGAATTGCTTGAACCCGGAAAGTGGAGGTTGCAGTGAGCCAAGATCATGCCACTGCACTCCAGCCTGGGTGACAGAGCGAGACTCCATCTCTACAAAAAAAAAAAAAAAAAAAAAAAATTAACTGGGCTCACACTAGGGTGGGCATACTATCCGGACCAGCCAGTTCTGGTACTCCACCTCCCTGGCACAGACCTTGATCAGGTAGTGGGCATGAGACCCAAATGAAGCCAGAGTTGTCTTTACTAACAATATATAGATATTGTGAGAGGGTCTCTCTTTCCTTTGTATATCACAAGTAGTGGAGATGTAGGCTCTGTGCTGACAAGAGTTACCTTACCCACCATGTGAAGAGCACCTGCCTGAAAAGATGCCAACACACCATGCTCAATAAATGTTACCCACTATAATGTGTATATTCCTCTTTTGTGGAAGAAGCCAGGTCTCTGCAGACTAATGGGTAAGTGGGGCAAGGGAGCAAAATCAAAACCAAAACTCAGGTTTTTGTTATACAGTAGCAGTTATCTTTACCTTGGGGGGAAAAAAAATCTCTTTTTGTGGGAAAAAGACAGGCTTACTAGGCTGAGACCTGGGTTGGAATCCAGATTCCAGCTGTGCTTAGCAACTGGAATTACGTAGTGCCCTGGGCTGATGTGAAGATTGAGAGAGATTTAAATACATAATTGAGTGCCCAGCTCAAGTAAATGGCAGATCCTTTCAATCAGCAGCAGTACCTACCAGGAAAGGCCTGTTAAAACTGATTAAACAATGTACCAGAAAAAGTGAAAGCTAATTTGCTTTTTCTCTGTAATCTACATTTATTTAAAGATTTGGGACATTTATTTAAAGATTTGGGACATTTATCCATAAGATCAAATGGTTAAAAGTGTCTGTGCACAGTCCCTCTTATGCTTATTTACAGAATAATTTGAAGATGCTGACATCTTCAGCATGTGATAAACACCCCTGCAGATTAATCAGAGGTTATACTTGAGGATGCTGCTACCATAGCAGTGGAACAAAACAAAGGGGTGGGGGGGAATCTGTATGTTTGTGTGTGTGTATATATATACATATGCATACACTATTGGCTGAAACTTCATGACAATTCCAAATGAAGTCTCCACTGTGGCAGAAGAGTCAACAAATGGCTTCACATTCACTCTTAGGTGAATCCAAATATGGTCAGGTGTTAAGTGGTTATCAAAAACGTGTCATCCCTCCCTCCCCCACTTCTTTTGAGAGAGGATTTCTCTCTGTCATCCAGGCTGGAGTGCAGTGGCATGATCACAGCTCATTGCAGCCTCAACCTCCTGAGCTCAAGTGATCCTCCCACCTCAGCCTCTTGAGTAGCTGGAACTATAGGCATGTGCCACCATGACTGGCTAATTTAAAAAAATTTATTTTGTAGCGATGGGGTCTCATTATGTTGCACAAGCTGGTCTTGAACTCCTGGGCTCAAGCAATCCTCCTGCCTCAGCCTCACAAAATGTTGCAATTACAGGCATGAGCCATCAAAGTACATCTGGTCGCCAGGGATCCTATGGCATCTTCCTGTCCTCCAGGATACATGACAATTTTCTGAATCCAAAGAATATATAGGTTCACTGGACTCTCAACAGTTGGGTATAGAGCAGTTCTGTTCCCAACTTTTTCCTGCCCCACACTGCTCCAATGAACAACTACCTCCACTGACTCTATCTCTGATTACACATAATGATTCTCAAGTGCAGCCTAAGGGTACATCCATCCCATCAAACCCAAAGGGTGGTATAAAGAAGGGAGAAGAGGACCAGAAGTAATATAAAAAGCACCACCTCCAGAGACTCTGATACAGTTCCTGGCCAACACCCGGCCTCACCCACCAGCTTTCCTCACATTCCTTCCCTTGTTTTAAAATTAAGTAGGTTTTAAAAAAAAAGCACACATCATAAAAAGTAAATTGAACAGACCTGGCATTCAGAAAGCATTACTGGCCACTATATATGAAGTAATGACAAGGGTAGAAAATACAGCTCTAACTTTCCAAAATGTCACAACAAAGACTTGTATGATCCGTGAAATCTTTATATAAGAACAGCCTTAAACAGAGGTTCCTGAATTGTGCAGGCATATACTCTAATGCCATCCACGTTGAAAACATTAAAAATAGAATTATTTACAAAATCAAGTTGACTTTTTTTTCCATTTTTTAAAAAAGAAAACTTCTTAAAAGTTGTCTTTTCTGAAGAAAAACTTTCTCTAATTGCCTATTATCTTCATATTTCAGAGACAAAAACAATTTGAGTTTGGCTCATCTCACCTCCATTCATTTATATGAAACTCTTCCAAGATTATAAGCCACATAGAGAAATGGCTGCAAGTGGAAAAAAAAATCACAATGTAATGAAAAAGGAGAGAGCAGGTGCCCTGCTACCAGTGGCAGGTAGTTTTATACACTCATACTCATTTTTTTTTCTTTGAGATGGAGTCTTGCACTGTCGCCCAGACTGCAGTGCAGAGGCGCGATCTCTGCTCACTGCAAGCTCCGCCTCCTAGGTTCACGCCATTCTCCTGCCTCAGCCTCCAGAGTAGCTGGGACTACAGACACCTGCCACCACGCCCGGCTAATTTTTTGTATTTTTAGTAGAGGCGGGGTTTCACCATGTTAGTCAGATGGTCTCGATCTCCTGACCTCGTGATCTGCCCGCCTCAGCTTCCCAAAGTGCTGGGATTACAGGCGTGAGCCACCGCGCCCGGCCTATACACTCATATTCTTAAATAAATCTTTGGGTTGGCCAGGGCTCCACTGCCACCTACTCGTTTCTCATCTTTTGGAAAATAGTTTTTTTTTGGTAGAATGACACCAAATATGCCATTGTCATGTCAAGATAAACATGCAACTGCAAAACAAATTCTAACTATAAGGGTGATTAATTAAAAAAAAAAACTTGAAGCCAGTCCACTCTGCAGATGGTCTTGGGCTGATACTACTGTTCAGGGTCAAATCCAGAGGGTCACTTTGTCACTTCAACGAGTAGTGGAACTGACTCACACTATCTTTTTATTTTTATTTATTTATTTATTTTTGAGACGGAGTCTCGCTCTGTTGCCCAGGCTGGAGTGCAGTGGCACGATCTTGGCTCACTGCAATCTCCGCCTCCTGGGTTCAAGCAATTCTCTGCCTCAGCCTCCCGAGTAGCTGGGATTACAAGCGCCTGCCACCACTCCGGCTAATGTTTTTGTATTTTTAGTAGAGACGCGGTTTCACCATCTTGGCCAGGCTGGTCTTGAACTCCTGACCTCGAGATCCACCTGCCTTGGCCTCCCAAAGTGCTGGGATTACAGGCGTGTGACTCACACTATCAAGTGCATAGGAAACCAATGAGCTAGGTGACAATATATCCATTTATAAGTCTAGATAGTCCATTCCTGAGACTCCAACATATGTACATGCTATCAAGGTACTCTTTTTTTTTTTTTTCTTTCTTTTTTGGGACAGGGTGTCTGTCACCCAGGCTGGAGTGAAGTGGCACAATTACAGCTCACTGCAGCCTTGACCTCTGGGGCTCAAGGGATCCTCCCGCCTCAGCCTCCCAAGTAGCTGGGACCACAGGCATGTGTCACCACATCGGGCTAATTTTTTTTATTTTTAGTAGAGACACGGTCTCACTACAGCCCAGGCTAGTCTTGAACTCCTGGGCTCAAGTGATCCTCCTGCCTCTTCTCCCAAAGTGCAGGGATTACAGGTGTGAGCCACTGCACCCAGCCAGGGTAATTTTTTAAAATGCAGCATGTATTTGTTGAGTAGGGAATCTTGGCAAATAGAATCAAGAGGTTCTTGCAAACTATTTCACTCAGGCTGAAGAAAATTGACTTAACTTACTCCACAGTGTTTATTTTCTAGTTTTTTAACCCTCTTAAGGAATATTGCATAAACTATGAAAATTATTATCTAACTCTTCTCCAGATTCTACAGGGACCATTAATTTTTTGTTTACCACACTGTTCTTTTATTTATTTATTTATTTTGAGATGGAGGCTGTTGCCCAGGCTGGAGTGCAATGGTGCGATCTCGGTTCACTGCAACCTCCGCCTCCCAGGTTCAAGCGATTCTCCTGCCTCAGCCGCCCGAGTAGCTGGGATTACAGGCATGTGCCACCACGTCTGGCTGGCTAATTTTGTATTTTTAGTAGAGATGGGGTTCCTCCATGTTGGTCAGGCTGGTCTTGAACTCCTGACCTCAGGTCATCCGCCTGCCTTGGCCTCTGAAAGTGCTGGGATTACAGGCGTGAGCCACCGCGCCCGGCCTTACCACACTGTTCTTAAGACAGATGATAATAAAGTCACTTGACAGAAAAACTGGGTGCAAAATGTGTGGCTTTGATTTACAGGCTGACTGAAATTAAAGCTTTCTTTCTGAACTTAAACCTCAAAGCTACAGGTAATTTTTTTTTTTTTTTTTGAGAAAGAGTTTTGCTCTTATTGCCCAGACTGGACAGCAATGGCGTGATCTCGGCTCACCGCAACCTCCGCCTCCCGGGTTCAAGCAATTCTCCTGCCTCAGCCACCCAAGTAGCTGGGATTATAGGCATGCGCCACCACGCCCGGCTAATTCTGTACTTTTAGTAGAGACAGGGTTTCTCCATGTTGGCCAGTCTGGTCTCGAACTCCCGACCTCTGCCTGCTTCGGCCTCTCAAAGTGCTGGGATTACAAGCGTGAGCCACCATGCCTGGCACAGCTATAGGTAATTTAAACAAAATAGGTGAAAAAATTTCTAGCTATAAAATGGACACAATTTAGTCTTAAAACTCAAACAGAATATTGAAACATTTACAAATAGAAAAAAGCTCAATGCATTCTACAGAACAAAAATGTCCAGTCTTTTCCTATATAGTTAAAGCCAGTGATCCCATTTTTATTAATATCTGCTAAAACCCATGTAGCAGTTTGTAGATGTAGTTATTTACTCAGGAATCCTAAGACACAAAAAATAAACTAAATTTTAAGCAGCTGTTTCAAAAAAGACTATACACACATAAAATAGGATTACACACTTTAATCTGATTGACACTGAGGAAGTAGGGAGGACATGAAAGAAATTTAGTTTTAGCTCTGCTTTATGCATAACCAGATGCTCCTTTTCTAAAAAGTATATTGAGGTTTTAAAAAACACATTTATCAGAATACTTCAGGAAACCATACTATGTGTAATCCAGGAAATACACTATTTGCAGAATAGGAAAATCATCACTGGCAACAAAAGATTAAAACAAAAATAAAGCACCAGGGTTCTGAGCAGTTCTAAGGTGAGTATATCAGCAGAAATAGTGTAAATGCTCTTGACTGGTTGCTATGCAAACATGCTAATGAGGACTAGTCCATGTCTTATAATTTTTTTTTTTAACATGTTTCTTTGGAAAAATGGCAATATTGAGTGGAAGAGAAGCTGTCCTTTTAGACACCCAGCTTATTGGCCTGGGTGAGAACAACTTTGAGAACTGGCATGAAAGCAGAGGTCTCACTGAAGTTGCTGGTGCTAACTATGTGGGTATGCATGGTCAATCCTTCTGAGTAGTTTCGAGTTTCAATGCTCCTTGCAATGTTGTGTAAACCACTGGTGATTGTTGGTGAAAGCTGAAACAAAAGTGAACCAAGAGAAAGAATTAAATTAAGGGATAACTTCCCATGAGATCCTCCATAAACATTAAACCCAGATATTTAAGTGGAATTTGAAACAAACATTATAAAAATATATAAACCATTTAGCATTTCTAGAAAGTTTCTTGAACCAAGCAACAGTTATCAAGTACAACCACAACAAAATGATTTACATAAATAAGTTATTTATGAATTATACATGTATAAGCCAGGTATTTTCTTACAGAAAAGCAGCCCGATTTCCTCTCCAAACTGAAATGCTAATTTCTCTCTCCACTTAAGAGAGCTTCAGACCTTTAAAAAATTCTCCTATGCACAAAAAGGAGATTAAAGATTCTTAATCATAATATCTCAAAGGAAGGGCCCAAATTTACTAATTCTTACCTGCTTTTTATAATCCTGTCATCTCTTAAAACTATAAAACCTGTAGTTTTTTACTATGTCATTACTTGGCATAGGTGTCCATACTTTACAGAAGACTTTATTTGGATTTTTTTTTTTTGAGATGGAGTCTCACTCTGTCACCCAGGCTGGAGTACAGTGGTGCGATCTCGACTCACTGCAACCTCCGCCTCCCGGGTTCAAGCGATTCTCCTGCCTCAGCCTCCTGAGTAGCTAGGACTACAGCCGTGTGCCACCATGCCCAGCTAATTTTTGTATTTTTAGTAGAGACGGGGTTTTGCCATGTTGGCCAGGCTGGTCTCAAACTCCTGACCTCAGGTGATCTGCCCGCCTCAGCCTCCCAAAGTGCTGGGATTACAGGCGTGAGCCACCATGCCTGGCCTATTTTGATCTCATTTTTAAAAAATGTTTTAATATATACTCATCTAGATGTATACGCTAATTGTATCTTCTGTTTTTTTTTTTTTTTTTTGGAAATGCGGTCTTGCTATGTTGCCCAGGCTGGTCTCAAACTCCTGGGCTCCAGTGATCCTCCCGCATCAGCCTCCTCAGTAGCTGGGATTACAGGCATATCCCACTGTGCCCACCGAGAAGACTTTATTTTGGATCAGTCCAAGGACCACACTACTTCCACTGTTATATCAACTTTCTTTAGTTTGGTTCTCATGAGAGAAATGGTTATTTTCATCTGATGGAACTGAGTGTGGGGAATGGGTTAGAGGAATGCTGAAATGGAAAAAATAAAAAGAAAGTCCCACTTCTTTTTTTCTTCTCCTTTCCTAGTGCTTTCATTAATAAAACAAGACAATTTTAGAAAAGAATGGTGAGGTGGGGACAAGAGAACAAACGTAGTGAACTGACTTCTTACTCCTGGCTATCTTCATAGTTACAGCACATTACCCTATTCATCTTGTGGCTACATTTGGCTTTGCTTTTGTATAATGGCTATCCTAAAAGAAAAGGGTCAAGAGTCTTAGACTATGATAAAGATTATAGATTTAGTCCCTGGAAAACAGAGTATCTGCATACTCTTTGATTTCTTGTAACTGGGCCATATAAAAGGAACAGCAGAAGGTCAGCTACCTTATGGCCAACACAGGCCAGTTTGTATTTATACTCTTGTTATGAGAGGGTTAAAATGTCTCTCTCAACACACCCACACAAACACACACACACACACCCGTATCCCCTTAACCCCAGTGAGTGGAATTTATGATTCAACACAGCCATGCCCATTCTCTAAATGTCATGACAATTTTGCCCCCATGCATACTAAATGGGAGTGCTGATAAGACAACTGTTTTACTAGCAACTAGGAATAAATGATTATCATAAATCCTTTTCCTCCAAAACTTACTGTCTGTTCCCTAAGTTTATCATACAGAAACTCCAAACGTTTGCTGGCATCATCTAGCTTCCTCTTGGTTTGCTGCAGGAAAGAAAAAATAGATGTTATATTTGAACATTAACTTTTAACCTAAGAACTTGCCCTATCTCATTGCACTAAACCTTATACTTAAAATGTTGAATGGCTTCATTTTATAAAGAAATGGAGGCAACTACAACTAAGAAACTTGAACAGATTATGGCCGGGCGTGGTGGCTCACGCCTGTAATCCCAGCACTTTGGGAGACCAAGGCAGGCAAATCATGAGGTCAGGAGTTTGAGACCAGCCTGGTCAACATGGTGAAACCCTGTCTCTACTAAAAATACAAAAAATTTGCTGGGCGTAGTGGCAGGCGCCTGTAATCCCAGCTAGTCGGAAGGCTGAGGCAGGAGAATTGCTTGAACCCAGGAGGTGGAGGTTGCAGTGAGCCGAGATCACGCCACTGCACTCCAGGCCCAGGCGACAGTGCAAGACTCCGTCTCAAAAAAAAAAAAAAAAAAAAAAGAAACTTGAACAGATTATTAGAACAGAGATCAATCATCTATCAAGGGTGGAGGGTGGAGGGGACTGGGATGAGGAGAGGATGAGACTTACTTCCAGTGCATGAAAGAGTACTGATTGGATTTCATATGAACTGCAAACTCACTTGATAAGGTATATATGCATGTTTGCTTGCACTATATTCACAAGCATCAGGAGGCAGCAATGGGTCAGTGTATCACAAAAAAGAAGGTCTAAGTAGTTATTGTCGATTATGGGTGGTAGAAGGCAAACATATAGGTGAACTGTGGAATCTTGTTTTAACCTTTCAAAAATACTACTTAAACACTTAGTTACATTTGTTTAATCCTGCCTTTTTCTAAGCCTTTAAAGCACCAAGAAAGAAAGAAAACTATCTTTTGGCAGCTTAAGATTACTGAGGGAAGTAGTAAAATAAATTATTAAATTAAAAAGCTTTTTTTTCTCTCTACCATAGCACTGTAAAGTATAATCAAAGAAACTATTCTAAAACTAAAACTAACAGTTTTAAAATTACATGATTAACTTAATGTTCTACATTATACCACAGCCTTATGTTAGTTCAATATTTATTGGCTGCTTACTATGTGCTGTACCAGGGACAAAGTCTTGTATGTCATGTAGCTCATATCCCACTGGGTGAGAAAAGATACTAAATGAACAATATATTGCATGTCAGATGGTGATAACTGCTATGAAGAAAAGTTAATAGAGGAAGGGGGCTAAACATGTTGGGAGTTGGGGGTAATAAAGAAAGGCCTGATGGCTAATGGGACATGTGAGCAGAGGCCTTGAACTTGGGAGGAAACAAACAATGCAGATATGTGGAGGAAGAGTTCCAGGCAGAAGGAGCAGCAAGTATAAAGTCCTGACGCTGAAATGCTCTTGGTGTGTTCAAGGAAGGAATGCCAGTGTGCTTGGAGAAGAGAGAGAAGAGACAGGCCATCAAGGATGCTACATACCAAGTTGTGTGGCAAAATTACTTTGTGCTGTTTAGACATAAAGTGAAAATAAGATACATCCATGCTATAAAAACTATTCCAACTACTGATTAAAATGAACTTTTGCGGAAAGGAAACCTTACAATCCTTGCTCAAAGTTAACCTGGCCAGGTGCGGTGGCTCATGCCTGTAATCCCAGCACTTTGAGAGGCCGAGGTGGGCGGATCACCTGATGTTGGGAGTTCGAGACCAGCCTGACCAACATGGAGAAACCCTGTCTCTTCTAAAAATACAAAATTAGCCGGGCGTGGTGGCACATGCCTGTAATTCCAGCTACTAGGGAGGCTGAGGCAGGAGAATCTCTTGAACCTGGGAGGCGGAGGTTGCAGTGAGCCGAGATTGCACCATTGCACTCCAGCCTGGGCAACAAGAGTGAAACTCCGTCTCAAAAAAAAAGAAAAACAAAGTTAACCTTATCTAGCTACAAACAGGAGCCCTACCCCAAGGGGGCAAGGGCAGCCGGACAGGCAGGATATTAGAACTTCTTCCCCAACTAATTACAGAAATTATAGGAACACTTTGTCTTTTATGGTTCTCTACTACCCAGAGCTCCTCGGTATCCAAGAGGAATATAGTATGATGACCGAGAGAAGGGTAAATTAACAAAAAATGTATTGAGTTGGGCCATGTATTACGTGTCTTCCCAACCTCTCTATACTGACTCACGCCTGAAGAATTGGTGTGTTGTCATTCTTATTCAGATGCTTCCATTTTTGAATGACTACAGCCTGTCTATTTAGAAGTGTGCATAAGGGCTAGCATGTATCTGGTTATCAGCTTCGTCTGCTCTCTTGTTTCCACCTTGGTCTTCCCATCACTCCCAGAATGTCAGGCACTAAGGTTTATGTTAACTGCTTTCCTGATACTTTCAGTACAGAGAATGGCTTTCCACAAAGCCACTGACCAGCAGAAGGCTGCACATATTAATACTCAATGTCTGATGAACAATAAGATCTAGAAGATGTTTTTTCATGCAGACAAGTAGCCGATGATTAAAAATATTCAATGTGTGCTAGCAGAAAATGAAATTTCACTTAAGACTGGCTTTGTGGAATGTTTGTTGTTGCAATACAGGGGTATCTTAAGTAAACTAAGTAAAATCAGTTGCTTTAAATGTAAATATGCCTCCGATATCTAAAACATTTAACTATCTTTAACATCTCTGCAAAGCTTTAGAAGATGATCTATCTACTTTTAACAATTTCAATATAAGCTCAGAAAGAAATCCCAAATCTGAGTTTCTTGCATAGCACCATTATGCTCCATTTATGTGCCAAATACAGTTTTGTTGATGAGAGGCAGTATAGCTTGGTGGTTGAGAGCATGAATTCTGGAGCCAGACAGTCTGGGTTTGAATGCTGGCTCTGACCTTAAGTGTTACTTAACTGCTCTCTGCCTTACTTTTCTTGTCTGTAAAATAAAAATGACAAATCTATCTGCCATAGGTTATTGTGAAGATTAAGTACATTTATATATAAAAAGCAATTAAATATATTTCTATATGTAATGCAAACTATGTAAGTGCTAGCTTTATTACTTTTGTACAAATTTTTAGAAATATACCTTGTAGGACTTCAAACAATAATTATAGAAGAACTCCATAAAGAATTCTTTTATTTTATTATATTTTATTTATTTTGAGACGGAGTCTCTGTCACCCAGGCTGGAGTGCAATGGCGCGATCTCGGCTCATTGCAACCTCTGCCTTCTGGGTTCAAGCAATTCTCCTGCCTTAGCCTCTCGAGTAGCTGGGACTACAGGTGTATTCCACCACACACAGCTAATTTTTTGTATTTGTAGTAGAGACGGGGTTTTGCTATGTTGGCCAGGATGGTCTTGAACTCCTGGCTTCAAATGATCCACCTACCTCGGCCTCCCAAAGTGCTGGGATTACACGCATAAGCCACCACACCTGGCCAAGGATTCTTCTAATTAAGCAAAATATGATTTAAAAAAATAAATACATACAGGGTCTGTTGCTGAAGAAAGGCAGCGCTGAATAAGATCCTCAAATGTGGTCTTTAGAATGAGGTGCTCATCTGGAATAGGTTTCTTGGTAATTTTTTTTGTTGGCAAAGACTGCACATGCTGGAAGAAACACACCAAAAACTGATCAGAAATGACCAGAAGCTACCTTATATACACAATCTTGAATCTATGTGATAAACAGAAACCGACAACCTTGTACATAGACCTATTCAAAATCAAATTAAAATTTAATGTGTGAAATCACTTACGATAAGTAAAAATAAAAACCAGATATCTAGTACAAAGTGTAGGCGCTCTTCCTACAGTTTGGATTTTCATATGCAGGACTGGATACAAAGTAGTTGATTAATTTAGGTAACATATGTTGGTCAATATTGTTTATAACTGATGGGAAATAAGTATGTGCCAGCAGAGAATAAAAACAAGGCACTGGAAAACACACTCGGCTGGTTAGAATGGCTGCTTGCTCTGCCTATTGGCTCATTTACGTGTATGCTGGCATTCTTCTATTCTTTGTTTTACTCTTAGAGGTTGTTAACTGGGCTGTGATCAAAACTGCAAGATTAAGCCAAAGATTAAGAGAGAAGACATCCCGATGCTGCTGAGTATACAGATGAAAGAACAAAGAAGAAATGTTTAAGTTAAGTTTTATTAGTTCATTCTTTCACTCATTCAAAAAATATTAGGCAACTATTTACCAGGAACTGGCTACGTACTACTGGTGAGCCAATACAGAAATGATCTCAGTTCTCAGGGAGTTTACAGGTTAATGGAAGAGGCACAGTTTAAAAACATCACCAATGTACATAAAATAGCAACTGCAGTACGTTAACACGTAGTGGAAACAAAAGATGCTATAACTGAGATTTGACTGAAGGGAAGGGAAGGCTCTCTCAGGAAATTTTACTGGAAGGACAAAATGGAGTTGAACAGTTAAGTGAGGAAAAAAGAGCATTCCAGACGAAAGGAATAACATGTAGAAAGGAAGGATCACGGTAAAAGGGAGCTAAAAGGCCAGTATAGCTGGAGCAGAGAGAACAAGGAGTATGAACTGAGGCCTCCCAGACAATGTTGACTATTTTGGTCCTTATACTGAGAACAATGGGAAGCTGTAATGTTTTAGGCAAAGAGGAAAAAAGGCCAAATTAGAGATGGATCAAAGTAGATATCGGCAGACCAATTAGGAGGTTCCTGCACTGATGAAGATTAGAGATGAAGGTAGCTTGGACTACAGTAGAAATGTGGAGAAGAAAGGATTCAAAAAATATTTTGGAGTAATATCGACGAGACTTGGGGAGATTTAAAAGAGAGGTTAAAGGGAAAAGTGCATAAAGATGATCCCCAGGTTTTTGCCTGGATTCCACAGAAAAGATTATGGTGCCACTCACTGATAACAGGAAACAAGGAAAGATGACTAAGTTTGGGAGGAAGAGTATGAATTAGGTTTTGGACATGCTGAGGTTGAAGTACCTCCAAGACATCCAAGTAGGCAGGCAGCTGGGTATACAGCCTGGCTGAACACTATGTATCTTTCTCTTTTGATGGTAACTAAGGTTCAGGTCTAGGTGAGTACAGCATGAGAACCCAAGTCTAAACAAAGATAAGTGGCTGATTAGCTTCCCAAAATAACACAGGCTTATAATCTTTTTTATTTTTTTTTAAATACAACTCTATAATTAATTTTTATTTTTTCAGAAAGAACCATTTCTTCTCATCTTTGTCAAAATGTTTTTATAATGCAACTCTTAATGTTTAAAAATTCCTTAGGCATATTATCTCTTTTTGTTGTTGTTGTTGAGACGGAGTCTCGCTCTGTCGTCCAGGCTGGAGTGCAGTGGCGCAATCTCAGCTCACTGCAACCTCTGCCTGCTGAGTTCAAGCAATTCTCCTGCCTCAGCCTCCCGAGTAGCTGGGACTACAGGCGCCGCCACCACGCCCAGCTAATTTTTGTATTTTTAGTAGAGACAGGGTTTCACCATGCTGGCCAGGCTGGTCTCCAACTCCTGACCTCAGGTGATCCACCCGCCTCGGCTTCCCAAAGCATTGGGATAAGAGGCGTGAGCCACTGCACCCGGCTTCAGGCATATTATCTCTTAACAGTAAAGTATAATCTTGTGACAAGAGATACAGTCTTTACAAATTTGACTTCAATGAATCAAAGACAGAAACAGACAGTAGAACTAGTTTTTTTACTTGGGCAGGAGCTTGTTTCATCTTCTTATATTGAACTTTGATCTAAGCTCTTTATTTCTCATGAATAGATCAAAATACTTAACTCTGTATGTCTAAGTGTATTATGTAGAAATGTGTTAGATTTTTCAATATGCAGGACTTTGCCAACTGGCTGTTTGTGTGTGAAAAGCAAGTAAAAAATGTTTATCTCTATCTGATGATAAGGCTGTATTATTAGCTTTTATACATACACATAAAAATATATAACTCACTATATTTTTCTTTTCTATTTTAAGGAGAAAAATCTTTGGAAACAGCTTTTGCTTAGCAACCTCACGCAGAGATGATTTATCTGATTTTAAATTGTAGCTACTGACTAAGCCAAGTTATAGTAAACAAACGCTCTCAAATGTATAACCTTCTTCTAGAGAAGTTTGTATGTGGCCATGTAATTGAAAAATAATATACATACATGATCGATCTTAAAAAAAAGTTACTATTTTTTGTTTAGGTTGTCTAGATGTTTAATAATAATCATGCAATCATAAAAGTTAGCACATTAAAGAAAATATACTGAAACACAGCCATCTTCCCATTCCACTTCTACAAATTTACTGTTACCTGGAAGGTATTTCCAATAGGAGCCCCTGGGGCACCTTCAATATTGGGCTTTGAAAAAGATGGTGGCATGCCTGTTTGACCAAGAGGTTGCTGTACGCCATGGAAGGGCTGGCCACCTGGAAGATGTGGCTGTGGGAATGAAGACTGGCTTGACAGTGGTACTGGAGCTGAAGGCTGTTGCTGCAGCATTTGTGACTGGGGGTCACCCAACGGGTTCATGATTGGTGATGTGATGGGAACAGGAGGCATGAAGTTTTCAGGCATCTGTTAAAAGATGGAAATAAAAGACACCAGGAGTAAGAATAAAAACGATAGCAACATTTCTTCAGCTTAAAATAAGGGAGTTAGGTTATACCACGGCTAAACAAATTTTTTAATAGTAGTAGAATACTTTTTTCAAATGAAATTTTATGCAGAATAAAGTAAACAAAGTAAAACATAAAAACAGAGCTGATTTGGCTAAGAGGGATAGGGAGCTCAAACCTGGACTTCTTTGTCTCCCTTTACCCTCCCATACTTATCCCCAATAAAGCGGAGCTAAAACCATGGCTTTTTTTTTTTTTTGAGATAGAGTCCCGCTCTGTCGCCCAGGCTGAAGTGCAATAGCGCAATCTCAGCTCACTGCAACCTCCGCCTCCCAGGTTCAAGCAATTCTCGTGCCTCAGCCTCCCAAGTAGCTGGGATTACAGGCGCGTGCCACCACGCCCAGCTAATTTTTGTATTTTTAGTAGAGATGGGGTTTGACCATACTGGCCAGGCTGGTCTAGAACTCCTGACCTTGTGATCTGCCCGCCTCAGTCTCCCAAAGTGCTGGGATTACAAGCACCATAGCATTTTTGAAAGAGGGTATCAGGTCTGGAGAACTGTATGTAGCAATACTGGAATCAGAGGTGCCAAGTATGCATGGGCGTGTATGTGCACATGTGTTTAATATGATCAGAATGTAATACCTAAGTAGACATTATTTGGCAATTCTATCACACTAAAAGTACTAAATTCAGTTTCTGATTAATACTAACCTAAATATTGGGTTTCTTTCCTTATTTAATGCCTCCTAATTTTATATTATGGCCTCTCATTAGTATAGTTGGGGAAAGAGGTCATTAGGAATTTTTTTAAAAGTAAAAATGGCTTGGGCAAAAAGCAGCATCTTAATTTGTGCTCTAACAGCTCTTAACAGTTACTGAGATCTGTATAGTGCTCAGCCACAAGGCTATTTCATTCATACTATACGTGACAGAAAAAGTCCAAAATTTAATTGCCAAATTCATGATTACTAGTAGAACCCAAAGACCAAAGTAACTCAAAAAAAAAAAAAAAAAAAAAAAAGAAAGCAACCCTGAAGCCTGAAATTTCCTACTTTTTGAAAGAGGCCTGTTGGGAATTTATATCTTGCCTTCTAAAGGGGCTTTAATTTATATCACCATCATCAGAACAAGGTTTTGATGATACTGTTTTCTACTTCCTTTCCTTCCTTCCATGGATTAGAAGGTGCATGTTGAAATACACTTTAAATACATCACTCAGTAAGCTTCGCCTTTAAAAGGATCAGTGAAGTATAGTGTGTTCCAAGTGGCTACGTGGTTAACATAACATCTGTAGGCCATTGGATGGACATCTTTTTCTAGTACCTTCTTCTTTTTGGGTACTCTGTTCAAAGCTGGAGGGTCATTCCAACCATTCTGAGGACCTATAACAGATAACAGAGAATGTTTTCCTTTAGAATCCTGAAAGGAAAAAAAATAAAACTGAATCGATCACCTAATACTTCAAAATTCTGCCTTAACCCTGAAATAACTGTCACAAAGGTTTTACCAGCCGAGTGTGGGGATCACTATGTAGCCCTGGATTCTCACACTCACATCTCTTAATAGGAACAAGGTCTTCACTTGGTAGGTAAGATATCTTGACACTGTTTCCATTTAAAGTAAAAGAGTGTGCTAAATTTAGGGTGGTGAAGTTTTTATTTATACTGGTGTATGACTTTCAAAGATCAGTTTACTATTCTCTCCTAATAATGAAAATACAAAGTCTGCTAAAAAAACAAAAACAAACAAAAAAAAAACACACCAGGCTTCTGATATATTCAACATATAAAAAAAAAGAGAATAAAATTAGCAATCTCCTATTTGCCAAGAGGGCAATTCAACATGAGCAAATCATCTATTCTAAACATGGTAGAAATATTCTTAAGAAAAAAGCAGACTCCAACTATGTAACACTAGTAATTTTTATCATCTTTGCCTCGGGAATTATAAGCAAAGTAAAAAAGGGTATTCAAATATCTGTGCTAAGATTTTTAATGCCGTAAAAAAAAATTTGCAGGCTGATAGCAAATATAAAATTAAAATATTACCAACTGTAGTAAATTTCCTCTAAAAAAAAACACATGCACACTAACAAATCAAAAAGCCCTGTTATTTCAAAGTGAAAAATGAACAACAGTAGCAGAACTTATTAAGTATTTTAATGCCAGTATCTTTAAAGAGGAAAGGAATACAACATGCTGGAAATAAGAATAATTTCTAAATCACAATTAATTCTTTCACATTTCACTAAGTGTGAGTTTTGATATTCTCTATAAGGAAGCAGATACTTGCTAAAGAAACTTTTGTGTATGTATATATGTAAAGACAAAAAAATTATTCCCTTTCCAATAAACGTTCTTTCAATATTTTAACTTGTACTTGTTTAACTGATATACATATTAAGTCACAAGAAAACTGTCAAACCAAAGTCACAGAAACTTTAAAAAATACAGATCTTCAACTAACCACCAGCGCTTACTTGTCTTGATTTTAAAACAGAATTCAGGCGAGGCGCAGTGGCTCATGCCTGTAATTCCAGCACTTTGGGCTGAGGCGGGTGGATCACTTGAGGTCAGGAGTTCGAGACCAGCCTGGCCAACATGGGGAAACCCCATCTCTACTAAAAATACAAAAATTAGCTGCTTGTGGTGGTGCATGCCTGTAGTCTCAGCTACCCAGGAGCTGAGGCAGGAGAATTGCTTGAACCTGGGAGGTGGAGGTTGCAGTGAACCAAGATTGTGTCACTGTACTTCAGCCTGGGTGACAGAACGAGACTCCGTCTCAAAAAAGTAAAAAATAAAAATAAAAAAATAAAAACAGAATTCATTTCTTAAAAGTTTACTAGGAGACAGAAAATCAGATATGGCTCAAAACAGTCAAGAGTTAACCACAAAATATTAACTCATATGCTGCTTTCTGATTAACAAATTCTTAAACTTCTGGTTCTACATAGATTAATCATTCAAATCTCTGCAATCACTTTCTAGTCTTACCCGTAGCTCAAGACAGTCTTGGCATAGTTGTTTTCTTTATGTCTATATAAAACAGACAGCCTTTATAACCAAGCTACTTGTGTAATCACGTAAATTCAATCAGTTGTAAAATCTGATTCAATTAAGAAGCCAAATAAAAAAAATGATCCTGATCAGATTTGGGATATCATCATCTTTGAAGTTCACATGCATTATTGTTAATGTCCATTCATTAATTGTATTCAATTATTCAAAGATTTCCAAAGGTATATTTTACAACCAATTCACCTTCCAACATAGGTGCCTGGTCTTGGATAGACTGGTTTTCTGTAGACAAAATGTAAAAATTACTTAACAGTGTTTACTGAAGACATTCTAAACTTTACTCATTTTATAATTGTTTCTTCTCCCTTCATTAATCCCCAGAAAGTGTAAATTAATTTAATAAGAGAACAAAACTCACTTTTTAATCAAGTCATGTGAAATGTCTTCTAATTAAGAAAGTAACTGGTTTTTTGACAGAGGGAATTTATTTAAGTTGTTAGATCCAATTAACTCTTAAACATCACTTTTTTCTTACTGTTCTTTTTTAAGAGAAAATTTTATCCCTTCATATTTAAAATAACAATGTTTCCCTAATTGTTTGCATGGATTGTTTTTCTACTATTTAACTAATGAAGCTCAGAAATATCACTGAGGGGACAGCACTTCCTAGCATATTCACCTAATGTGTCTATTTTGGTATTGTTCAAAGCTGTGAATCCAAATCAGCTATGGATCTTGTTAAACCGCAGATTCTTATTCATTAGGTATAGTGATAGAACCTTAGATACTGTCTTTGCAGCCATCTCCCAGATGATACGAATGCTGCTGGTCCAACACCCTCT
Source organism: Homo sapiens (assembly GCF_000001405.40). NCBI lineage: Eukaryota > Metazoa > Chordata > Mammalia > Primates > Hominidae > Homo > Homo sapiens. Next base: position 82,831,536 of record NC_000004.12, read on the forward strand.
TGAAGTAGCAGGGAACTGGAGAAATGGGGTGATTTCTACATGTCCTACAGACTTCAACCTGCATTTGATAAGGATAAACGTGCCTATCTTAGCACAGTGGTATCATTTTTCACTGCTGGATTTAGGAGGCCCCAGTGGTCTGTACCCTGCAGAAACTGTAATTTCTGGGGTCATACTGTGCATATAAATGAGAATAGGCCCAGCAAATAATGTAACCACCTCATATGGTCTTTTCTGTAAGAATATACAGATTTATGAGTGAACTCCCATTCACAATTGCTACTAAGAGAATAAAATACCTAGGAATACAACTTACAAGGGATGTGAAGAACCTCTTCAAGGAGAAACTACAAACCACTGCTCAAGAAATTAAGAGAGGACACAAATGGAAAAACATTCCATGCTCATGGATAGGAAGAATCAGTATCGTGAAAATGGCCTTACTGCCCAAAGTAATTTATAGATTCAATGCTATCCCCATCAAGCTACCACTGACTTTCTTATAGAATTGGAAAAAACTACTTCAAACTTCATATGGAACCAAAAAAGAGCCCACATAGCCAAGACAATCCTGGGCAAGAAGAACAAAGCTGGAGGCATCATGCTACTTGATTTCAAACATTACTACAAGGCTACAGTAACCAAAACAGCAAGGTACTGGTACCAAAACAGATATACAGACCAATGGAACAGAACGGAGGCCTCAGAAATACCACCACACATCTACCAGCATCTGATATTTGACAAACCTGACACACACAAGCAATGGGGAAAAGATTCCCTATTTAATAAATGGTGTTGGGGAAAACTGGCTAGCCATATGCAGAAAACTGAAACTGGACCCCTTCCTTACACCCTATATAAAGATCAACTCAAGGTGGATCAAAGACTTAAATGTAAGACCTAGGACCATAAAAATCCTAGAAGAAAACCTGGGCAATACCACTCAGGACATAGACATAGGCAAAGACTTCATGTCTAAAACAGCAAAAGCAATGGCAACAAAAGCCAAAATTGACAAATGGGATCTAATTAAAGAGCTTCTGCACAGCAAAAGAAACTATCATCAGAGTGAAAAGGCAACCTACAGAATGGGAGAAAATTTTTGCAATCTATCCATCTGACAAAGGACTAATATCCAGAATCTACAAAGAACTTAAACATATTTACAAGAAAAAAGCAAACAACCCCATCAAAAAATGGGCAAATGATATGAACAGACACTTCTCAAAAGAAGACATTTATACAGCCAGCAGACATATGAAAAAATGCTCATCATCACTGGTCATTGGAGAAATGCAAATCAAAACCACAGTGAGATACTATCTCACGCCAGTTACAATGGCGATCATTAAAAAGTCAGGAAACAACAGATGCTGGAGAGGGTGTGGAAAAATAGGAACGCTTTTACACTGTTGGTGGGAGTGTAAATTAGTTCAACCATTGTGGAAGACAGTGTGGCGATTCCTCAAGGATCTAGAACTAGGAATACCATTTGACCCAGCCATCCCATTACTGGGCATATATCCAAAAGATTATAAATCATTCTACGATAAAGACACATGCACACGTGTGTTTACTTTGGCACTATTCACAATAGCAAAGACTTGGAACCAACCCAAATGTCCATCAATGATAGACTGGATTAAGAAAATGTGGCACATATACACCATGGAATACTATGCAGCCATAAAAAAGGATGAGTTCATGTACTTTGCAGGGACATGGATGAAGCTGGAAACCGTCATTCTCAGCAAACTATCACAAGATCAGAAAACCAAACACCACATGTTCTCACTCATAAATGGGAATTGAAGAATGAGAACACATGGACACAGGGAGGGGAACATCACACACTGGGGCCTGTGGGGGGCTAGGGGAGGGATAACATTAGGATAAATACCTAATGTAGGTGACGGGTTGATGGGTGCAGCAAACCACCATGGCACATGTATACCCATGTAACAAAACTGCATGTAACCCAAAAGTTAAATTATAAAAAAAAAAAAAAAAATACAGATTTGCAGACTGAGCACAAGTCACCCAGAAATCACTACTTCTTATAGGAAACCAAAGTTTATAGCAGTGGACAAGAGAAAAACAGGCTGAAAACATAGCAATCCCAATTGTCAAATACTTAGGGTCAGGACAGGCCTAGCCTCAAATCAAGGGTATGGAATGTCAGTATGTCAGACATATAACTCATGTGGATTCAGCTATCATTAATTGATGAGGGAGGGAGGAAAGGAGAAATTAAAATTGTTATTTCATTCTGCAATTAAATAGGCAGTAAAAGAATAGAAAAAATACAGTGAGTTCAATTTAGTTTGGACTCTACTCAAGAAGCACATGTCCCAGGGAAACTGTGAGGGGGGAGAGGTAATCCCACAGTTTGAAATCTCATTGTGTAGAGTGCAATTCTAATGTTTACTGACAGATGTTTTTCATACAAGATATAAATGCAAGCCAACTTTTTCATCTGGGGTTTACCTGTAAAAAGGATCAAGGATAATTGACTGTAAGTGATTTTCTATTTTTATCTTACATGATGACTTTACAACCTAGCTCTCCATGTGAGATATGACTTCATAACACTATAGTTTATAAATGCCCGGTGAGTCACTGTGTGTGCATTCCAATAGAGGACTGACCTGATTCCCAACTACTAATGCACTCTCTAGCACCAGGCTTCAGCTTCTGGCTGAGAGAGGTAATATAATACAAACCTGAAAGTACTGGAAACACAGTGGGCTTGACCCTTTAGTCAGGTCAAAACAACATGTCCTCTTCCCCTTCCTCATGAGAAGAAAGTGCAGAAGATGAGGACGGCTTTTAAGCTGTGGGTGTTAAAGCCTGGGAGGGTATCCAGACTTCACCAACTATTAGCAGCACAAAAAAGTCTATGGAACTATTTTCTTATGTCCCCTTGGTAAAATGACACCAAATCATAATAAAATCAAATTCTAAATTAGGGGTAAAACTGAATAGAATCAGAACCAACAAGCCTCTCAGGAGGAAGGTCCGTTGGCTAGCCTGAATAAGTTAAAGGAGGGTGGGGAAGGTCTGCTGAATAGAAGGCAATATTTTATAATTAAGTACCCCTCTCCCAAAACATATGCCTAACTCCTCCTAACCTCAAACCATGCAATATATCAAGCCATGTGTTTTAGCAGAACCCCAACAGTCCTTTTATTAATTTAATGTACAATTTTGTCTCAATTATAATTCTAACCCCTTTCAATCCTTTTTGCTTTTATAGATTTAGATTTAGTGACTTTTTTAAAAAAAACTTCTCCTACTCAAGGATTTTATTTATTTATTTATTTTTGAGAGGGAGTCTCGCTCTGTCACCCAGGCTGGAGTGCAATGGCACAATCCCGGCTCACTGCAACCTCTGCCTCCTGGGTTCAAGCAATTCTCCTGCCTTAGCCTCCTGAGTAGCTGGAATTACAGGTGCTCGCCACCATGCCTGGCTAAGTTTTGTATATTTAGTAGAGATGGGGGTTTCATCATGTTGGCCAGGCTGGTCTCGAACTCCTAACTTCAAGCGATGCACCCACTTTGACCTCCCAAAGTGCTGGGATTACAGGTATGAGCCACAACTCCTGGCCTAAACATGACTTTTTACAAACAGTTCAACTGATCTCTACTTTATAGAGACATCCTTTAATAGCGACAGGACATAAAACAAGCTACATGAAGAACATGAATATCTACAGAAGACAGTACTATGGAGATTCATTACGGATGTGAAAAATGATACTCTTGGTCAACGCTTAAAAAAAATATCAACACAGTACATTTTAACCTTGAACAGAAATGTTTCAGAAAACTGAAGAGGAAATAATCCTCCCCTATCCTTTTTTAACTCTTTCAAAAAACTATAAAGTGGGGATGAATCTTTTACTCTTTTTAAAACATGACATGACTTTAAGGGCATGGAAAAATGGTTCATGGTGTAATATTAAGAAAAAAGTAAGGTCAGGCGTGGTGGCTTACGCCTGTAATCCCAGTATTTGGGAGGCTGAGGTGGATGGATCACCTGAGGTCAGGAGTTCGAGACTAGCCTGACCAACATGGTGAAACCCCGTCTCCACTAAAACGCAAAAATTAGCTGGACGTGGTGGCACACACATGTAGTTCCAGCTACTTGGGATGCTGAGGCATGAGAATTGCTTGAACCTAGGAGACAGAGGTTGCAGTGAGTCGAGATTGAGCCACTGCACTCCAGCCTGAGTGACGGAGTGGAACAAAAAAAAAGGAAAAAGTAAGATGTAAAATTATGTGTATGTGTGTGTTTGTGTTATGATCCTAATTCTTTAAAAATGCATGCACACAATGAATTACTACTTCAAACCCATTAGGATGGCTATTGAAAAACAGAAAACACAAGTATTGGCATGGATGTGGAGAAACTGAAACACTCGTGCATTCCTGGCGGGAACGTAAAATGGTGCAGCTGCTGTGAAAAACAGTGTGGTGGTTCCTCAAAAAACTAAATGTGGAATTACTGTTTGATCCAGCAATTCCACCTCTAGGTATATACACTAAAAAATTGGCCGGGCGCGGTGGCTCATGCCTGTAATCCCAGCACTTTGGGAGGCCAAGGTGGGTGGATCACAAGGTCAGGAGTTCGAGACCAGCCTGGCCAATATGGCGAAACCCCATCTCTACTAAAAATACAAAAATTAGCTGAGCGTGGTGGCACATGCCTGTAGTCCCAGCTACTTGGGAGGGTGAGGCAGGAGAATTGCTTGAACCCAGGAGGCGGAGGTTGCAGTGAGCCGAGATCGCCCCACTGCACTCCAGCCTGGGCAACAGAGTGAGACTCCATCTCAAAAAAAAAAAAAAAAAAAAGAAAAAGAATTAACAGCAAGGACTCAAACAGATATTTGCACATCCCTGTTCACAGCAGCATTATTCACAATAGACAAAGTGTCTATCGGCAGATGAATAACAAATAACAAATGTGGTATATACATACAATGGAGTATTACTCAGCCTTAAAAAAAATTCTGATACATGCTACAACATAGATGAACCTGGAAGACATTATGCCAGTCAAAAAAGCCAAACACAAAAGGACAAATGTTGCATGATTCTACTTATATAAGGTACCTAGAATAGTCAAATACATAGAGACAGAAAGTAGAACAGTAGTTACCAGAAGCTGTGGGGAACAGAAGCTATTATTTAATGGGTACAGTGTTTCAGTATGAGATGATGAAAAAATTCTGCAGGGATGGCTAATGGGTACAAAAATATAGTTAGATAGAACTGAATAAGATCTAGTTGACATCACAACAGGGTGACTACAGTCAACAATAATTATTGTACATTTAAAAGTAACTAAAAGTACTCCTTTAGTTACTTTTAGTATATGGACTGTTTACAACACAAAGAATGACAAACGCTTGAGGTGATGGATACTCCAATACCATTTACCCTGATGTGATCATTATGCATTGTATACCTGTATCAAAATATCTCATGTACCTCAAAAACATATACACCCACTATGTACCCCAAAAATTTTTTAAAAGTTCTGCTGGTTGCAAAACAATATAAATGTACTTAATGCCACAGAGCTGTACCTTCAAACATGGTTAAAATAAATTTTATCATATATATATATATATATATATATATATATATATATATATAATTTCACCACAATAAAAACTTTAATGCAAGTTTTTATGTATGCATGTATGTATGTGTATGTCTGTATGAAGGGAATAAATAAACCTAAATTAATAGTAGTTATATTTGGGCAGTAGAATTATAGGTAATTTTTATTTTATTTTTTATATGACTTTGAGTCTTTTAAAAACTTCCTACAGTGAAAAATTAATAAAAAGCAAGGAAGTTTTTTTTGTTGTTTTGAGACAGGGTCTCACTGCCGCCTAGGTGCGATCACAGCTCACAACCTCTGTCTCCCGGGTTCAAGCAATTCTCCCATCTCAGCCTCCCAAGTAGCTGGGAATATAGGCATGTGCTTCCACACCTGGCTAGTTTTTTGTATTTTTTATAGACATGGGCTCTTGCCATGTTGCCTAGGCTGGTCTCGAACTCCAGGGCTCATGCACTCTGCTGTGCCCGCCCCAAGAAACATTCATTTAAAAAATAAATATAGCATGTCACTGAATACTATGGAGTCCTATCCACCTTAGCGTAGAGATTTATCTTCCAGAGAATCACTGGGGGAAGGAAGAGGGAACTGCTGGTCTCACATGCATGGGTGGAGTTGCACAGCATCCTTACCCAATCCCACTTCTCACTGGAAACCTTCTTAGGTACTCTTATAGGAGCATAATGGTAGAATCTATGCACTGGCTAAGATACTTTTCAGTGGACTCAGGGAAAATGTTAGTGCCAAAAGCATAGAGAATTGTGGCTAGAACATTAATTTGAAATAGAGAATAGAGCATCTTTGTCAACCATACATCTTTCCTTTCCCTATAAGCCTAGCATGTCACAGGTTTAAAATGAGTATCACAAAATTAAAAATGAAAATTTAGAAAGACATGAATCCTTGAAGTCATTTTCTAATGATACAAGATAGAATTATCCAAAGAAAAGTAAGGAAGGATATCATGCTTTCCTTTACTTGAATAGTTAAAACCAGGTGCTACAATTTGCCTAAGGAATGTTCATGAAAATTTTTTTAAATTTCAGAACACTGTTTCATGAGAATATACAGTATTATTCCCCTTCAAGACTCTTCTTTGTGAAGTACAAGATTATATACATAAATTAAATTAGTCTTCATATTTGAAAGTGCTCTCCCTCCTAGAAACAGAAACAAAAGTGACAGGCAGTTATCCTAGATAGTAAAACAGGGAAAACTCCCTGCTATCCTGTGCTGCCATCACAGAAACGGCAATGCACTATCCCAACTCAGGCTGTTACCATCTCCTACCTAGAACTAGGAAAGAGCCTGTTTTCTTACCTCTGATTCTGCTGTGCTGCAAACAATTTATCTTGCAAGGCCACATCCAGATTAATCTCCCTCGCGTACCACTTTGACTGCACCACTCAGCAGTTCAAAATCCTTCATGAGAAACTTCTTTCTTATTGTATTATATGAAGTAAAACTCCTTGCCCTGGTACTTAAGGCTCTCCAAAATTTGGCCTAAATACAAACTATATGTTCAATTTGCTCTTCACTAGAAATGTATGGTCTTTTCTGCCTCCATTATCTCTGTCTGGGATAATTCTGATTGTAGACCAAACAGGTATCCATTGAGAATTTACCGAATGAATGTTTTACAGATTGCAACATTAGTTTCTCTGAGCCCTGAGCACATAATTTTGTTGTTCACTAATAGAAGGCTTGAAAGTCTCTCCTATCTGTCAGAAATTAACTATTGAACAGCTGGACTTTCTAAATCCTAAACAAAATTGTTATCTAAGACATATCGGAACGACAAAATTTTTGTTTATAATTATTATTTTTTGAGATGGAGTTTTGGTCTTTCGCCCAGGCTGGGGTGCAGTGGCACGATCTCAGCTCACTGCAACCTCTGCTCCGGAGTTCAAGCGATTCTCCTGCCTCAGCCTCCTGAGTAGCTGGGATTGTAGGCGCCCGCCACCACGTCCAGCTAATTTTTGTATTTTTTTTTCTTTTTTGAGATGGAGTTACGCTCTTGTTGCCCAGGCTGGAGTGCAGTGGTGCGATCTCGGCTCACTTCAATCTCCGCCTCCTGGGTTCAAGCGGTTCTCTTGCCTCAGCTTCCCGAGTAGCTGGGATTACAGGCATGCACCACCACGCCTGGCTAATTTTTGTGTTTTTCGTAGAGACGGGGTTTCGCCATGTTGGCCAGGCTGGTCTTGAACTCCTGACCTCAGGTGATCCGCCCGCCTTGGCCTCCCAAAGTGCTGGGATTACAGGCATGAGCCACCGCGCCCAGCCTAATTTTTGTATTTTTAGTAGAGACAGGGTTTCGCCACATCGGCCAGGCTGGTCTCAACTCCTGACCTCAGGTGATCCACCTGCCTCGGCCTCCCAAAGTGGCAGGATTACAAGTGTGAGCTACCGTGCCCAGCCTCATTTATAATTATTTAAATAACCTAAGCAAAAACTTTTAGGAAATCCAAAAAGAAAATAAGATAAAGTTGTCAGTAGATTAAAATACAGCAGACTACTATAAGATACAGTTGTCAGTAGATTAAAATATAGCACACTACTAACGTGCAAGAGGTAACAAAGCAGACAAGCATACTGCATGCTGAACACTGAAAAGTGTTGTCTGGCTTCCTCTTCCTGTTAGTCACTCTGTTTCTCAGCCAGGTTAAAACATTCTGTTACTTTGTATATAAACAAAGACTAATCTCAAGGCCACAGGCACTTCTGCTTAAGGAGAAAAAGAATATCTATGCAAACATTTAATTTAGATTATAAAGTAACAAATGCCTCAAACAGTGTTGCTGGATGATTTTTGAAATTGCAATGATGATAGTTTTCTATCATTTACACCAGGACTAAACTACCTGGTATAGAAGAATGAACATGGGCTTTGAAGATAGGGACCTGGTTTATATCTCAACTTGGAGACTATCACTGTGCAATCCTGAAACATAACTCCTAAGAAACTCAGTTTTTTCATCTGTAATTTTTAAAGAAATAATTATTACTACTTCTCAAGGTTGTAAGACTTAAATAAGAAAACATATAACAAGTGCCAGAACATGTCCAATATGAGCTCAATAAATGTTAATTCCCTTCCCTACTTCCCTGCACCACTTTTTAAGTGGGGATTTACTCCAACCCACGCCACCTCTTTCACTCAAGAATTCTGATTCTTACCCAACTACCGAGAAAGGATACTATCTTCAGTCACCCAAGTTTTAAAAGGTAATTTTTGGAACTCTACAAATGAATTAGCATTCCTCTCTAAAATATCAAACTATTGATGTATCTGTAGTGTATTACTGGAATCTTATTTGTGTAGTTAAGGATTATGCATACAGTGTGTATGTGTGTAAGTTTTGGTACTCTGGACTTTAATATTATACAGTCATGTGTCACTTAATAATGGGTATGCGTTCTGAGAAATACATCATTAAATGATTTCATCGTCGTGTGAACATCACAGAGTGCACTTACACAAACCCAGATGGTATAGCCCACCACACACCTAGGCTGTATAATATAGCCTATTACTCCTAGGGTACAAACCTGTACATCATGTTACTGTACTGAACACAATACTGTAGGCAACTGTAACACCATGGTATTTGTGTTCTAAACATAGAAAAGGTACAGTAAAATATGGTACAAAAGATTTAAAACATGGTATACCTGTATAGGGCACTCACCACAAATGAACCTTAGAGGACTGGAAGATGCTCTGGGTGAGTTGTGAGTGAAGGTAAAGGCCTAGGACATTACTATACACTACTGTTGATTTTATAAACACTACATTTAGGCTACACTAAATTTATTTAAAATTATTTTATTAACCTTAGCTTGCTGTAACTTTTTTACTTTATAAACTTTTAAATATTTTAATTTTGACTCTTTTGTAATAACACTTAGCTTAAAACATAAATATTGTATAGCTGTACAAAAACATACTTTTTCTATTTTTAAAATTTATTTATGGCCAGATGCAGTGGCTCACGCCTGTAATCCCAGCACTTTGGGAGGCTGAGGCAGGAGGGTCGCTTGAGGTCAGGAGTTTGAAACCAGCCTGGCCAACATGGTGAAAGCCGTCTCTACCAAAAATACAAAAATTAGCTGGGCTTGGTGGTGCACACCTGTAATCCCAACTACTTGGGAGGCTGAGACAGGAGAATCGCTTGAACCCGGGAGACGGAGGTTGCAGTGAGCTGAGATCATGCCATTGCACTCCAGCCTGGGTGACAGAATGAGACTCCATCTCAAAAAAGAAAAAAAAAATTTTATATATATATATATATATATATATACACACACACTAAAAATACAAAAATTAGCTGGGCTTGGCGGCTCGTGCCTGTAGTCCCAGCTACTCAGGAGGCTGAGGCAGGAGAATCACTTGAACCCAGGAGGTGGAGGTTGCAGTGAGCCGAGATCACGCCACTGCACTCCAGCCTAGGCAACAGAATGAGACTGGGTCTTAAAAAAAACAAAAAAACCCCAAAAACAACAACAACAAAAACTCAATCAAGGCCAGGTTCAGTGGCTCACACCTGTAATCCCAGCACTTTGGGAGGCCGAAGCGGGTGGATCACTTGAGGTCAGGAGTTCGAGACCAGCCTGGCCAACATGATGAAACTCTATCTCTATTAAAAATACAAAAATTAGCCAGGTGTGGTGGTGCATGTCTGTTATCCCAGCTACTCGGGAGGCTGAGGCAGGAGAATCGCTTGAACCCGGAAGGCAGAGGTTGCAGTAAGCCGAGAGTGCACCACTGTACTACAGCCTGGGTGACAGAGAGAGACTCCATCACAAAAAAAAAAACCAAACAAACAAAAAACACAAAAAACAAACCCAAACCTCAGTCAACACCTCACATTACCCAGTTTACAAACAGTTAGAAATAATACCCCTCCATCCACCCATCTGTTCATAAACAAATAAAGGAGGGGGCCAAACCAAATCCCTTTCAAGCGCAGACCTGTTCTTTGGGACGCAGGCAGCTCACTGGCAGCAGGCAGTGTACCTGTTGTTCCAGGAGGCAGTGCATAAGCTGAAGATGATGGTGGAGCTCCTGGTCCGCCATGCTGGAAGGATGCTCCAGAGGAAGGGGGAGGAGGGAAAGAAGTAGCAGGGCTGGAGGTAGGTGAAGAGGCCTGGTGCTGTGCTGCGTACAGCTGAGACTGCCCAGTATAGGAAGAAGCAGAAGATATGTAAGGGGTGTTAGGGTAAGCGTTTGAAGTAGGAGGAGCAACAGGCTGCTGAGGTCGATACATTGCTGACCCCCCTGTTCCGAAGGGATACGGCTGGGCTGGTTGATAAGCTACACCAAGGAGAAGAAACAGAAATTTCAATTAGTTACAAGTTTATTCAGATAGTAGCAGAAAACTAAAAAGTTATCTCAGTCTATAGAAATGATTTTAATCAAAATAAGTTACAATCCCAAATTAAAAATTTACACCATTATATTTTTGAGGCTCAAATGCCCCAAATACACTTGAATTCAATAGCTTCAGTATTTGAAAAATGCCATCCCCAAACTGCCTCTGGTTATGAAAATATTTGAATCATCAGACCCAAGAACTGCAAGACTGACCCTTTTCTGAGACTTTTCCTGATCCTGTGAAGAGACAACAGTGACCACCAGATGGAACCAGGGAGGAATTACACATTCAAAGCACCCCACTTCACAGAAAAAGTTACATGGAGTTTGGTGGCAGCTCCAGACCTCCCTCCCAATAAGAACTGTAGGGTGAACACTATTGTTATGTATCAAATATCTTCTCCAACATCCAGTTAAATTACCAGCTACTGAAATTCTGAGTTTGAGCACAGTTCCAGATTAACGGCTAACTCTATGATCCCTAACAAAATTTTACATACAGTATGAAGATGGTTAGTAAACAATCAGGCAAGGCAGCCAACTCATGTTTTAATGCAAAGACCTAAACCCAGATTAGGGAGTTGTGGGTTTTTTTTTTTTTTTCTTTGAGACAGGGTCTTGCTGTGTCACCCAAACTGGAGTGCAATGGTGTGATCGTAGCTCACTGTATTCTCAAACTCCTGTGCTCAAGCGATTCTCCTGCCTCAGCCTCCTGAGTAGCTGGGACTACAGGCTATAGGTGCCACCACACCCACCTAATTTTTACATTTTTCTTTTGTAGAGATGGCGTCTTCCTTTGTTCCCCAGGCTGGGGTCAAACTCTTCACCTCAAGCAATCCTCCTAACTTCAGCCTCCCAAAGTGCTGGGATTGCAGGCATGAACCACCATGCGTGGCTTAGGGAGATCTAAATATAAATACCATCACATTCACATTCTTTGTGACCAAGAGTAGGTATGAACCTCGATAGAGTGAATCTAGTAAAAGTGGATCTGTTTCCTATCTACTCTGAAGACAGCTTTCACATTAAACATTTGAGTGAAAGGTTGTATCAAATTCATATTTATGTTGAACAATAACATTCATTTTAGCACAGAACACATTCATTAAATTTTCCCCTTTGAGATTTTTATTTTTTTTTTTTGCATTTAAATTTTCAAATAGTGGCAATATTTCACTTTCCAGGTATAATTATTTTCTTTTAAAAATGCCACTAATAGATACATGTCATTACACATTTGTTAAAATCCACAGAATGTACAACACTGAGAGTGTAAACTGTGGACTTTGGGTGATAATGAGACATTGATGTAGGTTCATCGATTGTAACAAATACACCACTGTGGCGTAGGATGTCAATAGTGGGGGCACTCTGTACTTTCTGCTCAATTTTGTTCTGAACCTAAGACTGCTCTAAAATACAAAGTCTATTAAATAAATAAATAAAATGGAAAAACAGTAATAACAAATGCCCCTTGAAACCATTTTTCCAAAAATAATTTGTGTCATCTTGCCTGAAGAAAAAGAATATGTAAAAAATAATTTCTAAAATTCTGTTTCTTTATACCAAAATCATGGGACACTTGATTATCTTTAACAAGTCTTAGTAATGGCTGAGGAACAGGAGTCAACTACTCTGAACAGTGTGACAAAGGAGCTACTTCCTAGCATAGTGATTCAGGCCACCTCCTAAAAAAACATGTCTCTTTGTAGCAGGGACTCAGGAATCCTATGCACAATGGTTCTTACTTATTGATTTGACAATGACTTTGGGGCTTCAAAGTAAAGTTACTAAATTAGATCATAAATACTGCTCTGAAAGGACTTTGGGGTCACACTACTTACGCTGTGGCTGTGGATAAGGTGGTACCTGGGTGTGCATATGACCTGGAGATGTGGGAAGCTGACCAGCAGCATTTGGATTAACATTTCCATGCATTATGAAACCCGGAGGTGGAGGATTTTCTCCCTAAGAAACAAGAACATGGTAAGAAGGCGGATACAAGTAGAACCAGGAACTTCACCAGATGGAATTACAATCTCTGAAATGGAATTCTATGTTTATTTAAAAAAAAACTTTATTGCATAAGAAACATTGCATTTTGCATATTCTATCTTCCTCATAATACCACATTTTCTGAGCAGCACATTTTGAATGATTAAAGATCAGACAGATCCAAAGTAATAATTGCAATGAATGGCAAAAGATGCTAACAGCCTTTAAAAATATTTATGAAATGTCACCAGGATTTTCCATCTCTACTAATTTCCATCCACTACTCCACTCTGTAAATATAAGTATAAATGCCATAAAGGGATCTTTTGTTTCTCTTCAATTTCTGCAATGCTAAAAAAGGAAAAAGAAAGAAAAAAGAAAAAAAGTCTTCAGTAAAATCAGATTTAAACCATTGTCAAAACCTTGGTTGGTGTTTTTGTAGTTCAAGTCAATTTAAAACTGCAAAAGAAGGAGGGGAAGGATAAGGAAATAAATTAATTGTGCTAAAAACTGCTTCTTGCATCCTAAAAGCATTAAAATGCAATGAGCAGGCAGATGGATGGGGAGTGGGGGTGAAAGAGCTTGAGGAAGGTAAGTAGAGAACATATAACTGTATATTTAGGTGAGCAGAATTCTGCTCAAAGAGGAATAATGAAGGATATACCTGTGTGTCAGAGGGAGAGGCTGCAGGTGGATGGCTGGGAAGGGCAGTAGGAGTTTTGTTACTCCAGGTAGTGACAGTAGGGGCAATTCTAACCTGAATTGAACAAAGAAATACCAATCACAGAAAATAAAAAATGAAAACGTTAAAAGAAGAAAAAAACCCCAAAAGGTATTAATAGCCAGATGCAAAGCCAAAGGTAAGATTGGCAAGATAACATACATTAGTCAGGCAACTGCTTTCAAGGTAGCTGGAATTCCCAAAAAAACAAAACAAAACAACAACAACAAAAACCACACAATCACAATGAAACAGGGAGAGGAAGGCAGGAGAAAAATCAATATGAAAACCTAAATCAAAGCACAAGAACAATGCCATTCAAGTGTCAATTATAAGTGGGTAAAGTGAGGCTTTGTAAGTAGAGAAGGAAAAAAGACATTCCAGGAAAAAAAAAAGTAATTGAGTAAAAAAGTGATTTTTTTTTTGGAAGCATTAATAGTATTCAAGCTACTACTAATCTACAAACACAGTGGTATAAGCTCTCTTTTCTGGATTTCATTACAGCCACAAAAGTCATATCAGTCCAATATGAAGCTTAAAACTCATACAATCAGAGTATTAAAGCTGAATATTAAAGATCTTCCAGTCTAATCCCCACCCTTTATTGCTGACAAAACCAAGGCCCAGAGAAGTGAAGGGACCGTACAACTCAATGGTGATTCCAAGTCACCTGATTTCCAGGCCAGTGTTTTCTATACTACACCATGTTGCTTGCCCTAGAGGCCATTGTTTTTTTGTTTGTTTGTTTGTTTGTTTTTCCGAGACGGAGTGGAGTCTCACTCTGTCGCTAGGCTGAAGTGCAGTGGTGCGATCTCAGCTCACTGCAAACTCCGCCTCCCAGGTTCATGCCATTCTCCTGCCTCAGCCTCCTGAGTAGCTGGGACTACAGGCGCCTGCCACCATGCCCAGCTAATTTTTAGTATTTTTAGTAGAGACGGGGTTTCACTGTGTTAGCCAGGCTGGTCTCGATCTCCTGACCTCGTGATCCGCCCGCCTCAGCCTCCCAAAGTGCTGGGATTACAGGCGTGAGCCACCACGCCCGGCCTGTTTGTTTTTTTAAGCCATCAAAATCCTTTTTGTCAAGTAAATCTTTGCAGAAACTCCAAAACATAATAATAATAATAATAATAATAATAATAATAATAATACAATTGACTCTTGAATAACATGGGTTTCAACTGCATGGGTCCACTTAGATGTGAATTTTTTTCAATAGAAGTTACACTGAGTGTGCCTGACTCTCCTGCCTCCCCTTCCACCTCCTCCACCTTTTCTCCCTCTGCCATCCCTGAGACATCAAGACCAACCCCTCCTCTTCAGCATATTCAATGTGATGACAAGAAGGAAGACTACTTCCACTTAATGATGAATATTAATGATGAATAGTAAATATATTTTCTCTTCCTTATGATTTCCTTAATTACATTTTCTTTTTTCTAGCTTACTTCATTATTTTTTTGTTTGTTTGTTTTGAGACAGAGTTTTTTGCTCTTGTTGTTCAGGCTGGAGTGCAATGGCGTGATCTCAGCTCACTGCAACCTCCGCCTCCCGGGTTCAAGCGATTCTCCTGCCTCAGCTTCCTGAGTAGCTGGGATTACAGGCATGCGCCACCATGCCAGCTAATTTTTTGTATTTTTAGTAGAGACAGGGTTTCATCATGTTGGCCAGGCTGGTCTCGAACTCCTGACCTCAGGGGATTCACCTGCCTTGGCCTCCTAACGTACAGGGATTACAGGCGTGAGCCACCGCGCCTGGCCTGCTTACTTCATTGTTAAGAATACGGTATATAATAAATACAACATATAAATTGTGTGTTAATGGACTGTTCATGTTATCAGCAAGGCTGCCAGTCAACAGCACGCTAATTTTAGGGGTTAAGTTCTGGGGAGTGAAGTCATAGATTTTCAACTGTACGCAGGGTCGGTACCCCTAACCCACATGGTTCAAGGGTCAACTGTAAAGGCAAAGCTGCGCTGGTCAAAGTGGAAGTGCAAGTCCTCCTGATCTGGCCTCTCTCACCCCCTTGCCTCTGCCTGTTAACACTGCATTAAAACCACAAGCCACTGTCCTCATTCATTCAGTACATCTTAAGCTTTAATCAAGAAAATCACTGCTTTATTTACGATTCACTTTGTCTTTTCCTACAAGTGTAAGATTGGTAAATCAAAGTATAACAAATCTTTCAATGTTTTTATCTTTTTCAAGAAAGAAAAAGCTAAGGACATAAAGAGCAAATATTCTCTTTTCCTAATGTAGAGCTTGCCTTGCTTCAGTACCTGACAGGTAGCTTGGTTTAACAAGACGCTTGGGAGTTCTAATCCCAACTTGGCCGGTAACCAGCCATGCAACGCTGAGAAATTCAAGCTCTGTGTCTTCAGTTCTGGTGGGTTGCTTGACATCTCTGCTTCTCAGTTTTCCCAGCCATCATCTGTTCTGCCCTACCTATGTCACAGACTAAGTCTAGTGCAATCTCCATGAAGGGGGGAATTTACTCTGTTTTGTTCATAACTATACCCCCACAGCAGCCAGAGCAATGCCAGGCACTCATGGCAGGGTCTTAAAAAAATATTTGTCAAATGAATGAAAAAAGTCAAAATAGAGAGTATTCTAGAGAGTTAACAGTTACATTCAAATGTAATCTATCCTGATTTAGTAGTACCAAACAAAAACATAACAGACAAAAGGGCATTAATTTTTTTTGTTTTTCAAGATTTTATATTTACTTTTGCTATAACAAAATGTAAAAAGACTCCATCAATCCTATCAGCAATTTGTTCTATTTTAAAATAGGCAGAGTACCTGTTAACTTTGCTATCAATCAAGACCATTTATTACCTATGGAAAAAATATTCTTCATTTAAGTACATGAAGGTTATCTGCTGGTCTGGAAATATGGAAGTTTCCATGTGAAACAGTAAAAAATAGTAAGAAGCCACATTTTATGACACCAAACATTTGGTAATTTAAATAAAATTATTAGTTCTTTTCACATTCCACATAATCTAAAATTTCACAAACCTTTGGTCATTCATTTTTCTCTAATATCTAAATTGTCCAAAAAAAAAAAAAAGTCTGTATTCTGGATACACTTCATATTGTGCAAATACAGAATACACTAAGCCTAAACCTATACTAATGATTAAGAATACTCAAAAAATACTATCTTCTAAAAATATTTTATAAAACAACCAAATCACCAAGATTTTTCCTGCTACTTTACAGCTTGTTAGATGAATCAAATAGAAATTTTAATAGTAGATGTACATGTTTAAGTGAACTTTGAGTGACAGAGAAATAGAACAAATCTCCCTAGAGAACTTAAAACCAATTCATATTTAAAATATAATCTGTTTGACTAAATGAGAGAGATGATTTCAAAAAGTAGATCACAAATACAACTTCAAGATTCTAGAAAATAGATCTATTATAACAATATATTGTCTAGTTTTACCATATCAGAGAAGGTCTCCTGCTGAACAAATGAAAACCACCAATTTGAAGAGAAATACAAAAGTGTTCCTACTTCATCTGGACCATATCACTCACATGGGGATAATATTGTTGAGTTTGAACTCTTGGCATCTGGTGGTGGCCAGCAACTGGTCCAGGCCTGCCCTTGGGGAGCTGCTGTTTCTCGTACGGAATTTTAGGTGATTCATGTCCTGCTACAGGCTCTCCTTGTGCTCTACAAAGTCTGTCACGAAGCTGCATGATATTTGGCTAAAAAGGATTGGAAAAACAGCAGACTGTTGAGAGTTCACCCAGGTATATGACAGCATGTTAATTTTCTTAATCAGATTATTCATCAAGATATCCCTTTTTGTTCATAATGCTGGGTATTATACAATAGACCCTGACACACAGATTTGACATTGTGCTTTCTACTACTCAAGACTGGCACCAAAGGTCCATGACATACAGTGCAACTTGTAATTTAACTGAGGCAGAGATCTGAGTTATACCTACCTCATGGTTACTATGCAAGACCAATATCACTTATTACTACTCTTTTGATGTTTTCTTGTGGTTACCTAATGCTCATAAATTACAAAACTACTTTAAAAACTATAACTAAGGCCAGGCGCAGAGGTTCACGCCTGCAATCCCAGCACTTTGGGAGGCCGAGGCAGGCAGATCATGAGGTCAGGAGATCGAGACCATCCTGGCTAACACGGTGAAACCCCATCTCTACTCAAAATACAAAAAATTAGCTGGGTGTGGTGGCGGGCACCTGTAGTCCCAGTTACTCGGGAGGCTGAGGCAGAAGAATGGCGTGAACCAGGGAGGCGGCACTTGCAGTGAGCTGAGAACATACCACTGCACTCCAGCCTGGGCGACAGAGCAAGAATCCGTCTCAAAAAAAAAAAAAAAAAACTATAACTAAAAGAGGCCACCAAAGAGAATCAACTACTAAAGGTGGTTATTGAAGAAAATGGTGATTTAAGAAAGAGATGAAAATGTTAAAAGAGATTTTTGAAATAAAGATTAAGATGTGAAATTCAGATCTGTAGCTCATACAGATCTACATGCATAGAGACTTACAAAAGTATGAGGTGACCCTATATATGCTCTAAGTATTAACAAATAACAAAAAGGCAATGTGTTAAAATGTTTCAGCAAGATTTTAGTATCTTTAAAAATTATACATTCCTATATATTTGTTAAAGGTTTAAAGGGATCATTTAAATGTTTTAGGCATATTTTATTTGCCTTTTGGGGGGGAGAATTATATATTACAATGCTATCACAAAGTCTCAGGACGTATTCCCCCCACCAAAAAAGGCAGGGTCTACTGAGATAAATAGGAAACAACATCAAAATTATGCTTTTTGGCCTAAAGAATGTTCTTTAAAGTCCAAAAAAAAAAAAGCATGAAGAATAATGTATAGAAAATGGATGTGCTTATAAATGGTACTGAAAATGAATTAAGCTAGATGAGCTACGGGTCTTAAAGCAAATTAGTCTTAAGATAAAGGTTCTTATAATATACCTCAATATAACTATTTACTTATAACTTTTTACTTATTAGGTAAAAAGTCTTAACAAAACTAGTATGCCAAAGTCACCATAAAGGAAAAGATTATGTATCAGCTATTCTATCTAACATTCCCATCAACAATTCAGAAACAAATGAGATGGATCTTACAGCTAAGTGTATACAAAACCAACTAGAGAGTCCTACCTCCATAGTCCTGGAGAATATTATGTACTTTTACTCAATGAAATTTATCAATAATTCTCTAAAACAGACAAAATACTAGAAACAATTGACTAAAAAAATACATAAAATACAGAATAAAGTGATTAATAAAAAAGTACAGAGACAAGACTGTATCTGCAAGGCTCAAAATCAAGCTCCATCAGACACAAAATGCAGATATATTGTTGTGGAAAAGTTTCCTCAAACCTCACCCGTACTTTTACCCATGCTCCATAACTGGGTTTGGGTTTCCCTTTGTTGGGTTCCACAGCACCAATACCCTTATCACAGTACTTATATCACACTTCTGGAATCTCATGTTTACTTGTCCATAGCCAAATTGAGTTTGGAGGCTTCCTAGAGGAAGGATCTTGGCAATCTTATTCACCATTCTATACCCACTTGTTGAATTGAATTGAAACAAGTATAGTTTTGCCCAAGTTTTATTGTGCAATAAGTAAGGACAATCTAATTAGTTCCCTCTGCTCTGAATACATAAAAATATACTTGCCCACAGACAGTATCAAACTAAAATGGCATACAGAATGAACTTCAATACTATCTGGGATGGAACATATGGGATTTTAAAAATGTTAACAACTCCATTTGTTTGATTAAACATTAACATTTATAGCTTTTTGACATAAAATATTCCTACAAAGAACTTTGTATGAAGAATCAGCATTTGGCTTTAGAAATAAAAAGTTGGTCTTTTCCCTGTTCATTTTCCTAAAATACTATGTCGGTACAAAGGAATCTATCGCACTGCAAGATTATCCTATCTCTCTAACACAGCTTAGATACACCTAAAATGATCCCTGAAGAATTGTCAATAACATTTACCTGCAGTCAGGTTACAGAAATTCAACTGCTCCAAAACATTCTACCTACTAATATGTTTACATCTAATGCTAAGTGTTATCTACTGGACTCACCTTACTCAAACATTACAAAAATGGTCAATTCTAATTACCTGGTTGGTGTTGTCAGGAAGAAAAGCCAAGGCTGCAGCAATACTGCCCTGAGCTGCCAACAAATTGGCATACTGACTCATCTTCGCAGCCAAGAGAACTCCTACAGTACTAGTGTCCATGGCTTGAGTGAGTTGCACAGCTTTTCGCAGGATGACAACTTTCTCAATCAGATCCTAAATGAAAAAAATGAGTAACAAACAGAAATATCAAGACCATGTATGAGAGGAAGCAGGAAAAGATCAAGAGTTACTAAGATTTCTAAAACCCACTAAAAATATAGTACCTGTTATCATCCCTCCTAGAAAAGTACAGCCACTATTTAGGTAAGTGAAAAAGTAGTAAGGAGGAAGAAGGCCTCTTACTTATGGATAGGGTAGGATAGGAAGGTTACCACCTTTTCCTAAATATCCTTAAGCTACCAGATACTTGTCTAGTGAGCTAAAACAGGCAAATACTCAAAGTGAAAATGATAGGCAGATGTCTAAAGGTAGAAACTGTGTTCTAGCCTGTATGGGAGGAACTATGAGTGAAAATATCTGATATGGTTTGGTTGTGTCCCCACCCAAATCTCATCTTGAATTCTAGCTCCCATAATCCCCATGTGTCATGGGAGAAACCCAGTGGGAGGTAATTGAATCATGGGTCAGGTTTTTCCAGTGCTGTTCTCTTGACAGTGATCTGATGGTTTTATAAAGGGCAGTTCCCCTGCACATGCTCTCTTGCCTGCCACCATGTAAGACGTGCCTTTGCTCCTCCTTCACCTTGAGCCATGACTGTGAGGCCTCCCCAGTCATGTGGAACTGTGAGTTCATTAAACCTCTTTTTCTTTATAAACTACCCAGTCTTGGGTATTTCTTCATTGCAGTATGAAAATGGACTAATACAACATCACACCATCTATCCTATAAAAATAGTACTACTATGAGGTGACCCATAGACAGAGGCATGTGATTTCCAAAGGAGTTTACTATTTTAACTCAAAGCTCTCATGTGCCATTCAATACCAAATCTTTCCACAATGGGGAGCTATGCTTCTGGTAGAAAGCAGAAGGATAGCCTACCTTTCTGCCTTTCCTAAGTGCATAAATCCAAAAGGGTAAAACAAGTGTTTTTCTCTGAGAAGCTCTTAAAAGGAAAACCTTGATTTCCTACCCATTTTTTTTGTTTCAATAGAGTGATCTTTAAAGCACTGACTCTGTTGAGAAAATCTCTTTCCAGAAAGAGAAATATTATATGGTAAAATTATCATAAGCCTCTTTGATTTAAATGCTTAGAAAAAAATATCTAATATATAGTTAGTACCTGAGAATAGTCCCCACATTTTCTACTTCCTCTCTTGCTTGTGTATTGGTGTCACATGGCAGTGGTCCCCAACCTATTTGGCACCAGGGACTGGTTTCGTGGAAGACAATTTTTCCACAGGCCAGCAGGGGGGATGGTTTCAGGATAAAACTGTTCCACCTGGCCTGTTCCATAAGGTATTAGATTCTGATAAGGAGGATACAACCTAGATCCGTTGCATGCACAGCCCACATAAGGGTTCGTGCTCCCACGAGAATCTAATGCCACCACTGATGTGAAAGGAAGCAGAGCTCAGGCAATAATGCTCGTTCACCCACTGCTCACCTCTTGCTGTGAGTCCAGGTTCCTAAGAGGCCACAGAAGGGTACTGGTTTATGGCCTGGGGGTTGGGGACCTCTGCTACATGGGATTCCATTTACCTCTCACTTTCATTTTCCTTTAACCATAAAGATTCTCTACTGGCATTGGGGATGCCTCCTATTCCTTTACCCACATTGCTTCTTTCTTTGCTCATGGCAGGCAGAGCCACTGGAAGCAGACAGAGGAGCACACAGAAAAAGAGGTAAACCCTAGAGCTGTTTTCAATCCTCCTGCCACCTATTTCCCCCAATAAACTCACAAATCACAACCATGATTTTACAACAGCTGCAACCCCATTTTCCTATCCTATCATCTCAAACTTTGCTTCTTCAAAGATAGCAATAAATGCATATAATTATCCAGCAAAAGAAGTTCTTGAATGTATAGAAAAAATGAACTTATAGATTATAACTTGATGATAAGTAGGGTGAAAGACAACACTAAAAATTAAGTGCCTTTTGTTTCAAAGATACTACCTGAAGTGACAAAGGGTGGCTTCCATCTTGAGCTTTAGTCCAACATGCAACTAATTTCTCTACATTCCCTGCACAAATATAGCAGAGACATGCTTGAGTCTGCAGGAGGCTATCTCCTTCATTTTCAAGCCTGGTTCCCAAAAGATCTGTAAGTAAGAGGAAAATAAAATAAGATTATACCCAAGGCAATCTGTATATGAGGCTGTGAGCAGCTAAATAATATTTTCAGAGGCATGGATTAAGCTTCATAACCAATGAATAGCATAGAGAAACAAAATCACTCTAAATGCTCAGTAAATATGCATTTGTTAAATGAATGGGAATGAAAAATTGTATACAATAAATGATTTTACAAAACTATTATCTAACTGTACAACTAATTTTTATTAATTAAATTAGAAAAACAATAAATGGGAACAACATTTGAACAAAAAAACCCTAAAGGCACATTTGGAATAGATTTATCAATGTTAGCTAAGTCTAGTATAAATTACTTATAAAAATGCAGTTATGGCTGGGCATGGTGGCTCACGTCTGTAATCCCAGCAGTTTGGGAGGCTGAGACGGGCAGATCAGCAGAGGTCAGGAGTTCAAGACCAGCCTGGCCAACATGGTGAAACCCTGTCTCTACGAAAAATGCAAAACTAGCCAGGCATGGTGGTGCATGCCTATAATCCCAGCTACTTGGGAGGTTGAGGCAGGAGAATCACTTGAACGCAGGGGGTGGAGGTTGCAGTGAGCCAAGATTGTGCCATCGCACTCCAGCCTGGGCAATAAGAGCAAAACTCCGTCTCCAAAAAAAAAAAAAAAAGCAGTTAGTATTTTGTAATTTTTATATTCTTATAATTATTTCAAGGCAGCAAATGGCTATTTGTTTTTATACTAGTAGCCTTAAGCTTTTCTTGCAAATATTTATTCCTTGGCCACCAGTTTAGTCATGGCCTATAATGGTAATTTCTATTCTAATGTTATTATTAATTTTATCATAGCTAATATTTATTAAGTGAGAGTTACTTATGGTCTATTTCACAGATGAATAAACTGAGGCTTAGAAAGTAGTTCTTCCTAGATCATACAGCTACTAAGTAGCAGAGGCAAGATTCCAACTCTTGTCTGTCTGAAACCAAAATCACTAGTAGATTTAAAAAAAAAAAAAAAAGAGTAGGTATGAAGACGTATTTAATAAATCTGAGAAAGGCACTGAAATGAGAATTTTTCTTTTTTGTGATTTGTAGATTTTAAAAAGTTTCTAATAAAATTTGTCATTTAAGTTTATTTACAATATACCCTGCCACGTATGTAAATGCAGTTAAATATAAAGCACATCTCTTACCACAAAGGGCTGAAAATTCATCCGGCTTTGCATAAGTCAATACTGCAGCTAAAGCCTCTCTCCAATTTTTAAGATCACAAGACTCAACAATCTCTTTCCAGTTCTTCATCACCACTGCAGTGATGAGCTTGAGAAACGAAAACAAAGGAAGAATTAAAAGTCTTTAACATAGCAATAAAAATTAATTCTGACTAATTAATTGTGTCAAGTATTTCATGCCAAATGCAGCAGCAAAATGAAGTATAATTTTGAATCAAATGACATAATAATGGTATTATTGTTCCTCAAGAAACAACAGCAACAACAAAAACAACTGACAACATATTTCATAAAGTGCTGAGAAGGAAAAATATAAGGTGCTATCAGAACCTTTAATAGAAAGGTGTGACCTGGTCAGATGGATCAGGAAAAACTGCCCAAGCATGTAGACTTTTGACACGTGATCTGAAGGACAAGCAGGAATTAACTTCATCAAGAAGGAAAAAGCCTTCCAGGCCAAGGGAACGACAGATGCAAAGTTCCAGTGAGAAAGGAACATGCAATGAGTGAGGGAGGAACTACAAGGCAGCCACTGTGGCTAAAAGATAACCGAGGAGAGACTGAGATGAGATGAGGCTAATGGGACTCAATACTGGTACAACTTTTATGAAAACTAATTTCAATAAAAATTACTTTTTTTATGATGTAGAAATAACACCAAGTAACCACAAAAAAGAATGAGATCGTGTCCTTTGCAGGGACATGGATGGAGCTGGAAGCCATTATCCTTAGCAAAATAACACAGGAACAGAAAACCAAATACCGCATGTTCTCACTTACAAATAGGAGCTAAATGATGAGAACATGTGAACACATGGAGGGGAACAACACACACTGGGGCCTATTGGAGGGTGGGAGGAGAGAGAGAATCAGAAAAAATGATTAATGGGTCCAAGGCTTAATACCTGAGTGATGAAATAATCTGTACAACAAACCCCTATGACACGAGTTTACTCTTAAGTTTGTTAGATATAACAAACCTGCACATGTACCTCTGAACTTAAAATAAAAGTTAAATTCCTCTTCTATGACTACAGTTCAATTTAAATAATCAGAAATTTGTACAAGTCTTTAGGCACAACAAAGGTGTTTATCACTATATAAACAAGCGTGTTTATTTCTATTTGGAAAATACTGGAAACTACCTAAACATAACAAAATAAGGGAAACATTACATCTTCTTACCATGAAATATTATAGAGCAATTAAAATTTTGGGTTTTTTTTTGAGACAGAGTCTTGCACTGTTGCCCGGGCTGGAGTGCAATGGCGTGATCTCGGCTCACCGCATCCTCTGCCTCCAAGGTTCAAGCGATTCTCCTGCTTCAGCCTCCCTAGTAGCTGGGATTACAGGTGCCCACCACCACATCCGGTTAATTTTTTGTATTTTTAGTAGAGATGGGGTTTCACCATGTTGCCAGGCTGGTCTTGAACTCCTGACCTCGTGACCCCCCCACCTCTGCCTCCCAAAGTGCTGAGATCACAGGCGTGAGCCACTGCGCCCAGCCGCAATTAAAAAATTTAATAAGGCCAGGCACGGTGGCTTATGCCTGTAATCCTGGCACTTTGGGAGACCGAGGTGGGCGGATGACCTGAGGTCAGGAGTTCGAGACCAGCCTGACCAACATGGTGAAACCCCATCTCTACTAAAAATACAAAAATTATCTAAGCATGGTGGCGGACGCCTGTAATCCCAGCTACTTGGGAGGCTGAGGTAGGAGAATCGCTTGAACCCAGAAGGTGGAGGTTGCAGTGAGTCAAGATCACGCCACCGGACTCTAGCTGGGGTGACAGAGCAAGACCCCGTCTTTAAAATTATTAATATATACAAAAACAACAAAACTAGAATAATCATGCCAAAATGCCAACAACTATTTCCAGGTCAAGGAATTATGAATGAGCTTTTAAAATTCTTTACTGGTTTCTGCATTTCAGTTATCTATAATAACAGTGTATTGTTTTTATAATTAGAAAGATAAATACGTTATTGCTTATTTTTAAAATAACATACCCTGGTAATTTTGCTTTGGGATTTTGCGAAGTATTTTTTCTGGGTTCGAGCCAAGAGTTCTTGTCCACCTGCTATGGCCAATATAATGGCATCGGCCATGCGGTTATCATGTAAACAAAGGTCAACAGCACTCTCAAAATTGCCCGTCAGCAAAGCCTGAGTAATTAAACCATCAATGTCTGCAACAAGAAAATAATACATCCAAGTTAAATAGAGTTTTTGTTACCAAAACCAACAACAAAGTACTACATCTATCAATTTTTATATATATACATGAATGGAGACCACAACACTAATTTCTGATTACTAGTGGATTAATTTCTAACACAAGCTATTGGTATTTATGGAAGAGGTCTACAGAAATATGCTGAGATAAATACAAAATAATACATTTTCCAGATGCTTTAACTGGATTATCAAAGATCACCTAGGTGTCTGAACACACCAGCCTTCCCAAGGCACTGATCACATATACTGTACTAAAGGAAAAGTGAGTTCTTTCTCACACTCTACCACCTGTGATAAAACTTTTTTTTTTGAGACAGCGTTTCACTATGTTGTCCAGGATAGCCTCAAACTCCTGGGCCCAAGTGATCCTCCTGCCTCAACTTCCCAAGTAGCTGGGACTATAAGCATGCACCACAGCACCTGACTTGAAGCATTTTAACTTAAATGCAGGAACTATTTGTTTTCCAATGGTTAAAAAAAATTAGAAATCAAAACCAACAAGTACTTACCCCCACTGACAGAGATATTAAATGTTCCTCCAGATGAGGGTAGAAATTCAGATTCTTCTTTTTCCTCTTTAATGTGCTAAAGAGATGAAAAAAGCAACAATTTAGCCAGAATAAAACTGTGGAATGATTTACTGACAAAAAAAATTTACACATGATTCTTCATCTACAGAGTAGATGACATACCAAGTTATTCCAGAAAAGTTCTCAGATCCAAATTTACAACTAAGATCTATGCCTTCCCTAAATATTACCTCCCATTATATAATCATAAATAAAATCCAAGGTCATGAAGAATACTGGTTAAACAGGCTGGGCACAGTGGCTCACGTCTGTAATCTCAGCACTTTAGGAGGCCAAGGCAGGCAGATCACTCGAGGTCAGAAGCTCGGGACCAGCCATGCCCAACATGGTGAAACCCCATATCTACTAAAAATACAAAACTAGCCGGGCATGGTGGTGCGTGCCTGTAATCCCAGCACTTTGGGAGGCTGAGGTGGGCGGATCACAAGGTCAGGAGATCAAGACCATTCTGGCCAACATGGTGAAACCCCGTCTCTACTAAAATACAAAAAATTGGCCGGGTGCTGTGACTCATGCCTGTAATCACAGCACTTTGGGAGGCCGAGGCGGGCAGATCACGAGGTCGGGAGATCGAGACCATCCTGGCCAACATGGTGAAACCCCGTCTCTACTAAAAATACAAAAATTAGCTGGCGGCAGTGGTGTGCACCTGTAGCCCCACCTACTCGGGAGGCTGAGGCAGGAGAATCACTTGAACCCAGGAGGCGGAGGTTGCAGTGAGTTGAGATTGCGCCACTGCACTCCAGCCTGGCGACAGAGCGAGACTCTGTCTCAAAAAAAAAAAAAAAAAAAAAAAAAAAAGAACACTATTAAATAAACTAACATGTACATATTCATTACTGGTATCTCAGTAATGAGGCTGAAGAATCTTTGTTTTCTTAGGTAACTATGAGTGGCTCAAAATATGGAAAATATATTATTTATTTATTTATTTATTTAATTTTATTTTTTGAGACAGAGTCTCACTCTGTCACCCAGGCTGGAGTGCAGTGGCGCACTCTCGGCTCACTGCAAACTCTGCCTCCTGGGTTCACGCCATTTTCCTGCCTCAGCCTCCCGAGTAGCTGGGACTACAGGTGCCCACCACCATGCCTGGCTAATTTTTGTATTTTTAGTAGAGACGGGGTTTCACTGTGTTAGCCAGGATGGTCTCGATCTCCTGACCTCATGATCCGCCCTCCTTGGCCTCCCAAAGTGCTGGGATTACAGGCGTGAGCCACCACGCCAGGCCGGAAAATATATTTTTAAATTATACTATTTTTAAATTTTAAAACAAACCTACTTTTACACATCTAAGAATTCCTGTCCACTGGATTTGATTATAAAGTGTTTTTGTTTTTAACTGAATCATAAAAAAAAATGAAAAAAAAATCACATGGTACCCATAACATAAAAGTAATATAAGTACATTATTTATTAATACACTTAAATTCAAGTATACATTTTGTGTTTACTCAAATTAGTCATACCTGGAACAGTGGGTTAGTCTGGTAAAAATATACACAGTTCTGTTATAAATTTCTGAGACTACCTGCAAGACTGATTAAAAATAAACTCAATGCTTTCTTTAGAAGAAATATAATGGGGGCATTTTGCTGGCAAATAATTTTAAATGCTTTCTCTCCCATGCATAAAAATTCAAAATAAGACAAAAATATATCAGAGATTAGAGATAAATTTTTAAAGAAAAACAAAGCTTTCTTACATGAGATGAAATATCTGTCTTCTGTGCTATGTTATCTACACATCTGAATGTAAATATCTAGTATTCAAGTTCAGTGGCATTTTAGAACTGGGTAATTTTAATGCAGAGTACAGCACTGCACCATCTGCAAATACACTTAATTATTAATGTTGACTATTACAGGAGAATATCTATAACCCTAATTCCCTTTCCCCAACTAAAGAGAAGCATTTGGAATTTAAAAACTAAAAGAAATTAAGAATTTAAGTTATTCACATTAAGGAATAAATCAGAGACACTGATCTAATTACATTCATTAACAAACTTGCATAAAAATATTTTTTTTTTTTTTTTTTGAGACAGGGTCTCGCTCTGTCGCCCAGGCTGGAGTGCAGTGGCGCATTCTCAGCTCACTGCAAGCTCCACCTCCTGGGTTCATGCCATTCTCCTGCCTCAGCCTCCCAAGTAGCTGGGACTACAGGCGCCCCACCACAACGCCTGGCTAAATTTTTGTATTTTCAGTAGAGGTGGTGTTTCACCGTGTTAGCCAGGATGGTCTTAATCTCCTGACCTCGTGATCTGCCCGCCTCGGCCTCCCAAAGTGCTGGGATTACAGGCATGAGCCACTGCGCCTGGCCACTTTTCTTTTTTTTAACTCATTATTTCTCAAATTTGCTTTCTAGAAACAATTTATCCTTATTTATGGACTTCTGAACGAGATATAAGGTCAAAAAATGCACAATTTATTAGGTATTGAGTGCCTTCAATGTGTAAGCTACTATGAAACAAATAGCTCATTGAGACAAAGGGGAAGATTTTACCTCCTTAAACACATTTTTTCAAAGAACCAAAAGTACACATTGATGACTACTATTTCATTAAATGCATATATTTCTTACCTATTATTCATGAGTGCATTCCCAAATGATCTTCTATTTGATAATACATAGTCTAGTTGTACATAAATGAAAGTACATTTCTCTATGTATCTTACAATTCTGTCTAAATATTCTCAAAATTAGTTCTTTTCTTTTTTAAATCAGACAGGGTCTTGCTCTGTCACCCAGGCTGGAATGCAATGGTGTGATCATAGCTCACTCCAACCACGAACTCTTGGGCTTAAGTGATCCTACCTCAGCCTCCCAAATAGCTAGGACTACAGGCATGTGCCACCACGCCTGGCTAATTTTTTATTTTTTTTTTTAGAGATAGGGTCTCACTATGTTGTCCAGGCTAGTCTTGAACTCATAGCCTCAAGTGATCCTCCCACCTTGGCCTCCCAAAGTGCTGGGATTACAGGCATAAGCAAACATCATGCCTG